>NC_000006.12:157040486-157192002 GCF_000001405.40 Homo sapiens | reverse complement strand
CTATGAATTTCATTTTTAAATGGTATATGCCCTATACTCAAATTTTAAAGACTCTCCATTGTTCTTTTTCATTGGTCTATAATACATATGAAAACCAAGGCTTTGGGCTTTATGCTTCTCTCCACTCAGACAATATTATCAAGAAATTTATGTACCCCAACACAGGTACTATTATTTAAGGGATTCCAGAGTAAGTATTTCCATAAAAATATTATTCACTATTTATTCTATATGTTTTTTTCCAATAATATACACATCATGCTTCAATTTCACAGGCCTTGAATGCACTTGGAAGAATGCGCAAGAGCAAAATATCAAGTCTCCACTTGTGGCTTGTAGACCACGGGCAGAACTGAAGGACAGTGGCTCAGACAGTCACAGCCTCAGTGCCACCTCAACCTTGGGAGTCGGCAGGCATCAAGGGAAGGGCCAGCCTGGTGTCTCCTGATGGCAGTCATAAACTTCTGCACTCTCTGTCTCAAGGATCTCATCAATCCCATCACTGCAGATGCCATTTCTACACTTACTACTCCAAGATCATACCGATCCCAACATCTGCTCAGCTCCAGCCATGCACTCCATGCCTTACCACCGGGACACACCCCAGAGGGACTCCAGGTTCCCCTCTCTAGCCCGGTCCTTTTCCAATCCTCTGCATTGCAGGGAATAATGTCTTCACCCGCCCAGTCACGGTTAGCTTCTCCCTCAGGGCCCGCGTTCACTCCACCAGCACCTCTGACATACACTCTGCCGGCGGGTTCCCTCTGTGCTGCTGGTGTCCGGCTCCAGTTGGCCAGCTCCCCCTAGACTCTCACAGTGGTCTCCCCAAAGCTACTCTTACCTCTTTCCAGTACATTCTCCAGAGATGGCCAGTCATTTATTTATTTATCACAAAAAAAAACTACTCACATCACTTCCCTGCATAACATCTTTCACCTTGGGGAAAAATCCAGATTCATCAATACGCCCACAGACACCGAAAGGCTTTGGCCCCGCCGGCCTCAACGACCTCAGCCTGTCCCCGGGCCCATGCTCACTGTGCTCTGGACACCCACCACCTCCTCATACACCAAGCTCATTCCCACCACCACCCCCATGACAGGTCCTCAGGGCCCTTCCCTCCCGACCACTCAGTCTAAATCGCTTTCCCTCTCTCCCACCGCGCCACCCAGTGCCACTGCTATCTGTATCCTTTCTTCCTTTCACTTTCCTGTCTTCCACCAACCACAATCTTTAACTGCTTATTTGTGCTTAACTTATTTTTTGCTTCCTCCCAGGAAGTAAGAAGGCAGGGAGTCTGTGATTCCCTGAAGGTGGGCAGCGACTCTGATTTACCAATCCACGAGCTAGCGCCCAGCGCACACTAGCACACCACCATGCCAAGTGCCGTGAAGTGCGTGCTTACTTACCGCGGCTGCCAGCCACTCTTCTCTGAGCTCTGTTGCAGGAACTTAATCCTCGCCATGCCTTTGGAAGCGGGTCCTATTATTTTCCCAATTTCTAGATGAGGAACGTAACTTGGCACGTGTAAGGAGGTGGCAGGTATCCGGAAACAGGGAGCATGTGCCAGGGAACAGGCTGAGGGCACTGAGGCCAGCCGGGGACAGGATGAGGGCACAAAGAGGCTAACTGCTTTTCCCAAGGCCACAAGTGGAGTAGGATGGGGACCTGGGACCCACACCGATGCAGCATGGGCTCAGAGGTGTTCTGAGTGAAAGGTGAACTGTTGTGGAACGGCAGAGAGTAGAATGCCCACTGGTCCATGGCCGGGTGGAGGCCCCTCTACACGTACCTTTTCTCATTCCCCCAAAGGGGTCCTTGTTGGGCTCATAGGGCATCCTGCCCATCACATCGGGCATGCTCATGCCCTGCTGGTAGGGGGCGTTTGGAGTCATGGAGTTCCGTTTCGGGAAGGATGAATCACTCACATCTGAGAATGGGTCGTGCACACTGATTGTACTGCTTCTGAAGAGAGGCAAAGAATGAAAGCTTAATGATACAGCAGGAGTTACCTCCAAACAGTACATTCAGAAGATGAACCCATCTTGAAATGTGCAAATGCAAAAACCATTCAAGATAAATGACATGAAGAAAACTGGCAGTCATCAACATTTAAAAACTCTCTAGGGAATACCATTTCTTCTCTCTGTGAAGTTTGCCCCAGAAAACTAAAAGATGAACAAATGTGACTTTGTATGCCTCACAGAGTTATTTGAACATACCTTCCACCTTGCATTGGAGTCATCTGGCCGTGAGGGGTGGAGGCTGGGGTAGGTGGCTTCAGGTCACCTGGAACCTCTGCCATGGAATTGCTGCCAGTTGACTGGGGGGTCTGTGGGCCTTGCAAGGATCCCGAGTTAGCTGATAGTAGCAGCACCAAGAGAAACAGGAAGAAATCCAGAGATTATCAAGTAAGCCCAGCTGCCTTGCTAGTTATACAGATGAAAGACATAAATGTAAATAAGACACCATCTTATTAGAAACAGTAACAATAGCCATTGCTGATAATGATGTTGTAAAATTCGTTGCTTTTCTATTGTTTACAGTAAAAATTAGTAAAGAAGTTTTTGAGTAAACTATTTGGCAACATATTTCATTTGTGAGCCATAAAACACATTTATATCTTTTGACTGGATACTTATTTTCTGGGGTATTTATCCCAAGAAAATAATCTAATAAAAAGGAGGCTTTAGGCAGAAGAGTGTTCATTCACTGTTGTCTAGACTGGAAATAATCTAAATGTACATTTTTATAAATGGGATGAAAATTTTTGTGCATCAACTCGATGAATTATTGTGCTGTTTTAGAAACGAAATTAGAAAACTTAGTTCTGGGTCTTAGACAATGTGAAATGTTTAAGATGAAAAGCAAGGACACAAATTAACAATGAGCCTTATGTCATTTCAATAGCTTCTCAACATCTGAATGTGTCTGTGCTGTCATTAATAGTGTCACTTTTTGACCTATGAAATCAGATTTGTTATCAAAAAGCACAAGTCATACTGGTTTGGCGTTTTTTTAATGCTGTTATCAGGGTGCTGAGATTTGGCTTTAAGTATAATTACATTATAATAACAGAATTGAACTGATTTTTTCCAAACCTTATGTGGGACTCTTGGAAAAATTAATTAACCTCACCTTGAGGGAAAAACGTAACATTTGCAGGGCTCCTGCTCTGTCATCTACTGCAGTCCTTAGCACGCCAGATCATCAATAGATACTGGTTTCATGTGTGAATTAAACAAATACTTAATAAATGAGTAATACACCTACTATAGTCTAGGTTCTCTTCTATGCTCACATACACCAGTGGACCAAACTGATAAGAAAGACAACAACCCCTGCCCTCATGGAGTTTCTGATAAAAACGTGCAGAACCCCCCGAACAAATGGCAGGATTACTGCTGCTTGTGAATAACGTTTTCCATGTTATTGTGTAGAATGCCTTTCCTATGACGTTCCCAAGGCTCACTACAACTACCATTATTCACATTTTACTCTAGTGGCAATGGAGGTGAAACAAACCACGAGAGGTTACAGAGGACACTGGGAAGGAGTCAGAAATCAAAATGAGTACATTATTTCTACTCGGAAAGCCTCAGCTAGACAGAGACATTCCTAGCCAGATGAGGTCTGCCCAGCCTCTGGCCTGGGTTGGAATGAACGCTGGCCAACAGAGCTGAACACTGCGTAACATCCGTCCCTGTGAGCCCTGCACTGAATGACTTAGAGAAGTTCTCAGAGATGCCACAAAGACTGACTTTTTTAAAAAAGTTTTTATTTACTTTTTTTTTTTTAAACTTTAAGTTGAGGGGTACATGTGCAGGATGTGCAGGTTTGTTACATAGGTAAACGCATGTCATGGGGGTTTGTTATACAGAGAAGATTGACACTTATTGTAGGTATTTTAAAAGAAAAATGTATTCACTCATACTTACAAACCAAATTTGCGTAAAACCCTGGAAACACATGTTAAAAAGGTATATTGGAGTAAAGGAAGAAAGCCGTCTTTTGCAGATATAAAAGGGTAATAATCCTGCAGACATGGTTGCCCGCCTAGTGCTGCAGAAGAGAAATGACTTGCTTTCGAAATTCAGGCAGGCTCCGCTCCAGCCGACAGCCTCCTTGGAAACATCACTTGCAAGGCTTGATTTCAGAAAGACCCTTATTTACAAGTATTCACATTTATAGCTAATAAAAAAAAAAAGGAAAAATCTCCCTTGCCAGTGTTTTTTTTTTCCTTTCCTTTCATGGAAAAAAAAAAAATGAATGCAACCTCTTGTAACTCCATTAATAGAGGAGGCTGGCAGGCTCTCTAGGACATCCCTACCTTTTGCCAGAAGCTACAAATGTATACTCTAAAGTAAACAATGGAAAGGTTACTGAAGGTTAAGTACATTCACACACTTCAGACAGCATGGCCAGGCTCCTAGCTGGGAAGATAATTTACCCGGCACGAACCTGGTGCCCTAGTTCTGGCGGGGTTGAGCGAAGTAGGGTGGGGAGAAGGAATAGCTGATATGTCCCAGGTCTACAGTGACTAGAGGTCAACCAGAGGGCACCTCTGTTTATAACCTGAGTCCCTTTCTCATTTATCTTCCACTGAGGATTCCCTAGTTGGATCCATGACAGGTTTTGTGACATCACCTGTCAGCTAATAATAGAAATTCAGTCAGCCACCTGCCAGCCAAGATGGATGGGTTTTTGGTTACAGACTTATTAACCGAATGTGGAGCTCCATGCCCCACCCCTGCCCCACTTCTCCCAGCCTGGTCCCTTCCATTCCCCTCCCCATCTCCAGCTTACAGGCTGGGGAGGTGCTTCCTACAGCGCTCATTGGAACTCCCCCACAACCTTTTCTAGATGCTTTATAACAAGATCGCCACTGGCACCTTAAAGACACAAACCACACCCCATGGCCTTGCCTTGGTTCACCTGGGAGTCTCAATCACTGACTTGCTCTGGTGGCTGGAAGACAGGAACCCAGACATCCGGTGTGAGAAGCCACACAGCCACTTGGCAGTGATATGTGGGGTGCAGCCCCAGGGGCCAAGGGGCTTATGCCTCCCAGAGGCTGACAGAATTGAAGCCTAGAGCTGTATTAGCACCCCAAATTGAAACCTGACTAGAGACAGATGACTTAGAGTGCTCTTAGAATACAGTCAAAAGACTTAGGATTTTAGCTGGTTCAGAGCAACCATTGGGTGAAAAAAAATCTAAAATGTTTCTTCAGAATCTTTTAGTTTAGTTCGCCTGAATGTGCTGGTAAAAAATAAACTATAATTATGTTCTTCCAGGAAAAAGTGACTTCAAAGAACATACATTTTTACCGTAAATTTGTGTTTAAAAATCTTGTAATAAATGAGACTCTAACATGGCCAATAGTTGGGAATAATTTTATTTTCCTTTAACAACAAAAATGTTTCCAGACACTTTCCCTAATGATGGGACTGGAATCGGAGAGGCCACCTGCTGTGTGGGTGGCAGTGAATCGAGAGGCTTCTGAAGACCAGGGTGCCTCTGCCTGCGACCCCCAGACGCCTGTGTGTGCCTGGAGCCCCCTGCACGCGCTCTCGGGGCTGGACGAGACCAGGAGGCTTTCCTTCCACTGCCTCCTGTGTCACAGGCCCTCGGCTCCATCTGGACTACTGAGAAGAATGTATACCAGGAGTCCATTTGCAATCCAAGCTCTTTTGTGTAGTTAAAATGATAATGTTGCCATAAAAATGACAGTTTAAAAAAGGGGAAAAGGGAACGGCTGGCTGTTAAGAGAACAGGCCCTCCACTTTCTGAAGGATCTATACGCCTCAGCAGGGCCCCCGTCCTGAAGCTGATGCACACTGGGAGAGCTATTCTCCATACACAAGTGCAGCCCATTCAGTGACACGAGTTCTTTCCTGGCAAATAAAATGTACCCTTAGATCTTTACAGACATCACCACTTTGGTCCCTACGCCCCACTGGGTTTTTATTTTGGAAAAATAGTTTCAGAGCTGTTCACAGGCAGCTTGTTTTACTCTGTGAACTGGATGTAATGTTGTGAGATTTTTAAAATTAGATTTCCCAGTTTTTAAGGGACACCTGAGTTGGTAAAGCCTTTGAATCTTTAAGGATGAGGTTAGCGAGGATTTCTACTTGTTTTTAGAGCCTACAGATGTAATTCTAGGTATATTCACTACAAGTGCACTTTGGGCCTAAAACGTATTTATGTGAGATCCCTTGATTAGCAACCTTGGATATCAGCTTTGCCATCCAGACAGCAGCTAGAGGAAATCATTAAAAATGAAATGACCTCTTTCTCTGGCTTCTATGTGTAAACATTTCACATATTACAAAGGTATTTTCAATACAGCCAGAGGTGTCTGGTGGGTATCGTGTATACTGTAGCACCAGATGCCCCAGATAAGACCTTCTACTCCCCAGCTAGTTGGCTTTGGGCAAGTACTTAGATTCCACGAGACCTTCATTTTCTCATGGATTTTAAAATAGTATCAATGTCACAGGGCTGATGTGAAAATGAAATGATAGCACTTAGAAAAGGGCCCAGCACACTGGAAGTGCTCAGGAAACATGGGCTGCCAGCCACGCTCAGAACAAGCTGTGTACAGGAGCGGTGGGTGCAGCCACATCTCATAGACAGGGACCAGGAACAGTGAGGCTAATGTGCTGAAGGTCGCTGACTGCGAGGCAGACACAGATAAGAGAATGGTCGGATCTACTGGAGTAAGGTCACCACCCAGCACTAAGGTGCCAATTTCTTCCCCTCTCTACTATTGCATTTATCAGAATATATGATTTTGTCATTTCAAATCTGAAAGCCAAACGGTAGAACGAAGGCTGGCAGGGGAGCTGAAAGGAATGGGAGGGTCTCTGTCAGTGGGGAGGAGAGGGAAGGGAGCCAGCAGGCGTCACTGATGTGGCTCGGCCTGCGAGCGTGTTGGTGGCCAGCGCTGCACCCATTCCTAAGACCCCTGACTTCCAGAACAAGGCTGCAAAAGACCACCTGTTTCCAAAACAAGGCCGTGTGGATCCTTACCACGACAGCTTGTTAAATTCCCTAGAAGTGAGAACTTGCTGGGTAGGGGACATTAGAAACGAAGCCCAGGCTTCATTTTACTAAAGTTCAAATCTGAGGATTTCCGAAAGAGGGCGGGGGAGCTCGAGCTGTCGAACCTGTAGGGTGGCATTTCCTAGAAGTGCACATGTATTCAAACTGGCCACTGGGGGATCTTTATTTTGTGTAGAGGTAGATGGAATCTTTTTGAATACTTGTATAAGCAATAAACGTATATGGCTTAGAATTCGAAAGCCTGTTTTGATTAAGGTAAAGCAAAAGAAGGGGTGCCTTCCAAGTGTCAACCAGAAATGGCCATATCCCAGATTTAATTCTCTCATCCCTTAACACTGCCAGTGGGCGTCCAATTAAATAAACAAAACGACACAGGAACCCCCCACCTCTCAAAAGTCCCAAGTTCCCTGTTGGCCTGACTGTGAAACCACCTTCCCGGAACCTCCCAGGCCAGGCGCCTGGGCTTTCCTGGGCCAGTGACTGCAGCGCCGCCACTTACCAGGAGATGGCGGCTGGAGCTTGGGCTGCTTTTTGGTGTCCCCGGTGCTGAAGACTTCCGGCGGGGGCTCCTCCCCACGTTCGATCTTGCACTCAAAGGCAAACAGGTACTGAATATACTGCTTTTTCAGGGAGCTCGCTGCACTGCTTGAGGTGCCAACGTTTAGGTTGGTTGCCAGCTCACGCCACTTCTTGTTTTTATTAACCTAGTGAAAAACACGGCAGGATCATTGGTTTGCAACAAAGTGGCTTGTTTAAAGCCAGGAGACAAAAAAAGCACTTAATGTCTTGGTTGACTTTTCTTCATTTGCCTCTTTTAACTAATGCTCATTACTCCCACTCAGCAGTGCATAGGCAGCATTTACAGTTATAAAACCATTAGGGAACCTGCTGATGGCAACAGAAAAAGCACTGCTCGGAGGTCCTTCTGCCCGCCACATCTCCCAACGCCTCACGCTCATCCCACTGCACCTCCAATTAAGGAAAAAGGGCATCTCAAAACATTTAAAAAGCAACAACGGCACTATTTTCCAAGTTAGGTTTTTGGGCACTGATGTGAAAGTGCTCATTCCAGCAGCTGCAAGCCCTCAGAAGTGGGCCTGTGATTCTGGGCCGTACCCATCCCCTCACCCCAAGACTGCTTGGGGTGTCAGGCAAAAGCAAAAGCAGCACCTCGTGCAAAGGCAAATGAGCCCCTGGACCAACGGCCCCCAACTTAAAAAGCATGATGCGATGCCACTGGCCACCAGCCCTGCTGACGGGGCAGGTGCACACCTTCCTGTGCGGTGCTCTTACTCAAGGAGGCTTAAAGGGCTGGAGACAACACAGTCGCAAAAGGAGGAGAAAGAAAGAGAACTCCTGAAATGTGACGTCAAGATCCGAGGCATTATTTTAACCTTTTGATTCCCACTTGGGAACAGGTTATGAAAGGTTAAACGGTTAAACACATGGATGAAACATGAGGATTTGCAAATAACTTGGGGAAGGTTTTGCCTTTTGATGTCTCCTGCGTTGTGTGGCAAGGGAGGAGGTAAGGGGACAGTGGTTTTTAATGAAATATTAAATTTCTGGGTTCAAACTTTCTCACACGGCTCTTCTGTCCATTTACTTAGTACTCGGTGGTGTATAATAAATTGTGGATGCTCCCGGAGATGCCCACCGCCCTCTTTTGGCACTGAATGCAGGGCTGCAAACTGTGGGTCTTCAGGTTACTTCAGAAATGGCAAGCTGGGCGCTGCTCAGTGTGACCTAAGAAGGAAGGCTGGGAGCTGAGCTTTGTGTGGTGGCAGCACCTGCTCCCAACCACATCTGATGCCCACAAGGTACACAGCATGATGGGGTGGGGACAAAGATGCAACCCAGCTACATTCCAGCAACCCTCATTATAAGCCCGCGGAGAGTCTCATGACAGACCCAGCCTGGTTATATATACTGTGGACACAGTCACAGTAAGGAAGTAGCCAGACACTATCTACTCTGTGCTGGCTGATAAAATCTAATCGTTTGAGCAGTCTTGGTGATTCTAAAAAATCCATGTCAGAAGAGGCTAGGTGCAGGGGAGAAAGGTCAGGGGAGTCCAGGGGCAGAAGGCAAAGGAGCCCAGGTGCAGAGGGGAAAGGTCAGGGAGTCCAGGTCAGAGAGAGGCGTGTCTCAATCATTCTCTTTGCTGACCATCACTCACACGTGGTATCACACGACTTAGCAGCTGGTTATGCAGCGTCATGGGCAAGCTCTAATTCTTTCTGTCACAGGTCTCAGTTCCCCCATGGAATGGATTAGGCACCTAGTGGGAAGGCTAAGCACAAAGAAGGCCTCCCCTTTCTCCCCCGAGACGCAGCACTGAGACCACGGTAGGCCGTCAGTGACACCTGCAGGGCAGATGACTTGCCCTTGGATAGTTAGTGACCCCCGCCACCTTGGTGGGGCGCAGGGCGCCTGATTCTGACTGCCTGTTAGATTACCTTGGGCACAGAAGGTTTCATTTCATTGATGTCGGGTGGTAGCCCAGGTACTGACAGCTTTGAAAAGCTGCCCAGGCCATTCTAATGCATAGCTGGACTCCAGAACCAGTGGCAAATGGGAAGAGTATGTGTCTGGAGTCAGACAGACCTGGCCCCACCAACTACCCTGTGAGTGTCCCTGGGCTACAGCATTATTCTATTTTTTAAAAAATATATTATTTTTTATTGAGACAGGGTCTTGCTCTGTCAACCAGGCTGGAGTATAGTAGTGTGATCAAAGCTTACTGTAACCTTGAACTCCTGGGCTCAAGTGATCCTCCCACCTCAGCCTCCTGAACAGCTGGGACTGTAGGTGTGCATCACCACGCCCGGCTAAGTTTTGTAGTTTTTAATGGAGACAAAGTCTTACTGGGGTCCCCAGGCTAGTCTGCAACTCCTGGCCTCAAGTGATCCTCCTGCCTTGGCTTCCCAAAGTGCTGGGATTACAGGTGTAAGCCACTGCACCCCATCCTGTACTTGATTTTGTTACACAGGAGTTTTCTCATCTATGCTTTGGGGCTGGTGACTCATGTATTTAGAAAGACAAAGGTTACACAGTGAGTACCTTTTCCCTGTTCCTATGACAGGGCGTGGTCCTACAACTAGACTCCTGATTAAGGAGCGAGGGCTACAGTGAGGAAAGCCGGTGCCTGGGGTATGAGACTTCAGGACGCACTCACTCTGAGAGTCAAGCAAGCACACAGTGGATAGCTCCTTAAATCTGCACCCCAGGCAGCTCCCCTGTCACACCTCAGGCCTAGCCCGCTGGAGGTCACAGCAATGGCCCTCCTAACTGTCCAGTTATTGTGGGCATGGTTTGACAAGTATCACTTAATTTTCCTGCTAACCTGTTCTGGATAGAGGGAAGCAGTAAATGTGACTTATATCTGACACAGATAATTAATTCAGTCATTTGTAAAACATTTCTGAGTATTTACTATGAACTACTGGCAGATTCCAGAGAATTCTGGAGCTGTAAGAAAACCTACAGGAAAATCTAGTCTGGCCCGCTGTATACATGACGAAACTGAGGTCCAAGAACATGACCTGCTGAGGTCACGCTGCGAGTTGGTGGCAGAGCCAGGGTCCCCCAGTGCTCCCTGACAGCACACAGACGTGGGTTGCAAGAAGGCGACTTTCACACAGGCTTAGCTTTTCCTTTGTGAGAAAAAAAATGAGTCCACACATTCAAAGAAAGCCACTGTAAGAACTTATCCACAATGCTTCCTTTTTCACCCCCTCCCTCACTCATTCTTACCTGGGCCAAACCCCCGATCTCTTTGACGCAGACGTAGAGTCGGAACAGGTCCAGGGGCTTCTTGCCCACGGCAGGCAGACTTGAGACAGGAGAGCCTCTCTCTTCCATGAAGGTGAGGTATCGGTCGACCCAGAGCTTTCTCTCTGGCTCATTCCCCAGCTCGTACACCTTCGTGATCTTCTCCCCAGTAGTGGTGGAGGAGCTGGACTTCTAGTACCCAGAAGCAGCATGTGGAGGTGGGGCATGGGTGGGCAGAGGGAGAGGGAAGAAGGTGAGAAAAAAGTAATGAGCTAACAAATACAAGAAGAGAAGAGATTAAAAACTACTGCTATCACACAACAATTAGGAATGAAGGCTACTAGTTCAGGCACAAACTATACATTTTCTTAGTTAGGAATTTACTTTTACTTTAAATAAAAGGCCCAAACTCCCCCTTTTATACACTTAAAAACAAAAACAAAAAAGAACAAAGCCCTTTTTGGATATAAGCGTTGAATCCCAGAAGGCAAAATTCCAGTGACACCTCATGTTATTTTTAAAAATAAAAGGGTTCTAGCTCATGGAATGATCATAGTGAATTAAAATTTTTACATGTGATATTATAGAGCCCAAAACATTAAATGGACTCCTACTTTTCCTTGTCAAAACAAGAATGGCTAAAGGGTGTCTTCGTTAAAATGCTACAGCATCTGGAGGATGAGCAACCACACGGTGCTTGCTGAAAAATATAAGGTAGATTTCCAGTCACGGGAACCAGTGGTGTGGGCTATAAGCTCGTGTGTTTTTTGTTTTTTTTTGTTTTTTTTTTTTAGATAAACTAAGGGTCAACCAAAGCTTTGGGATTTATGGATAAACATATACATTTATTTTTATGCCCATGTATTTATATGCTCATGTGTTTTATATTGATACTCTAGTTCTTGGGTTTCTATGTACCTGCTTTTACCTGACACTAAAATATCAAGAGTTGCCGTTTCTGAACACCTGAAGCCTACTCCGTGGATTACATAATCTGGACAGGTAACACTTTTAGCCCTAGGCGGGCCAACTGTATCTCTTCCCTTTCTTATTTATATCTCTGTATTTGTAAAAATATTTACAATATTTGCAATACTAGGGTTATTGTACAAAATCTTTTCTCAGTTCTCAATAAAGATTTCTTGGAACAATAATTTACTTTATTTATGCATACCTAGGTTATTATTTGCAATATAGAGAAATTATTACAGACAGAATTCTTAAGTTTTTTTTCCTTTTTTCTTTATTTAGCTTAACATAATTTTAAACATATTTTTGAAGGTTTAGGGGGTTAACTAACATGACTGCCATTGAGGCTAGATGTTACCTTATTTAGCAGAATGATCTCCAGTAAAAGTAGGTCCCTCAGAAAGGATGCCTGAGAATGAAACTTACGCAGCATGTGAGGCCGCCGCTTTCCCTTTAACTAACACGTGATTCTCCAGAGTCACTGGGCTGAGATTTTAAGCCTTCAGCTTCAGAATTACTGAGGCATAACCTCTTTATCAAATATGTAATGGGTGATACAGTTGATGTAAATAAAAAATGTAGAATGATAAAAAATAGTTGTTTTATATTTTAGAATATACTTTGATGCTGAGGTTAAACTTCACATCACTTAAAAACCACTTTAGATAAGAGCTTAAAAAATATATATGTATACATATTCATATATGTGTGAATATATATATGTCTATAAACCCATATGTACACTTAGAATATAGAAACTATATATCCAAATAAATTTTTAAAGCTTATTTTTCATATCCTTGTACCCAAGGCCTACTTGACTAGGAAAAGAGGCTGCTCTAACACACTTTACACAAGACTCTCATCCGGGCAGCACCTCAGAAGCTCTGCCGTCATTAATGGGACAGTTATTAAAAACAGGTTCCTAAATTTTAGTATGGAGTTTTCTTTTTTATTAACGGGACAGTTATTATTAGGAGGTTTCTAAATTTTAGTATAGAGTTTTTTTCTTCTTTGGGGAGTTACACTTAAAAAAATGGGTCCAACGTTTTCAAAAGTGAAAAATTGAAATAAGAACATGAAGAAAAAGGCATTATAATCTATAATCAGTTAACAGTAAAACAACTTCCCTCTTGCATTTTATTTGTAAAAAACTGAGGTAAAAGTTTGAGATTCAGTTTAAAGATAAGACAAATAAAGGCAATCATTTCAATTTAAAATTGCTCCAATTAGCTCAACCAATATCCTGTTTGTAAGATCCATCTGCCGTTCCTGGTTTGGTCCTCTCTAAACTGAAACTGGGGAGTGGTTCTGGATGAATAGAATCATGAACAGAGCAACGGGGCACAGAAATGCTTGTTCTTGCTTCTGAAGGGACTGGATTCTTACAAGCTGGAATAGGCCTGAGATAATGATGGACACAGTTTGACTATATATTAACTTTTCTCTCCTTGGTTAAATAAACTTAAGTTTAATTAACTTGTGCCTATCTCAATTTGTTGTCATAACACTGGAAAAATTAAATGAAGATACTTTCTAAGAGAATAGTTCTTTTTCATAATTTTTAGATCTTCTAAGAGGCATTTTTATGGCACCATAATGTAGGAAACTGCATCTGCAGGGAACTGACACGGTCAGGCCTCAGTTTACGTGATAAATTCGGAAGAGGCCTCCCGAGGCTGGCTCACTTAGCTGAACCAGGGCCTCAGTTTCACCACTGCCACACGCTTTACTTTTCCTTTGCAGCACGACGTCACACACTGTGTAAAACTGTATGTTTTGCACGTAACTATTTGTCTGACACCCACTTTTCCGACTAGATCCTAAGTTTCACAAGTCAGAGTTTGGGTGGATGCTGATCACCAACACTTAGCGTGGTGCTCTGCATGCTGGAGGGCTGTGATAGCATTTTTTTTTTCCATGAGTGATTACTCCAATGGACAAAAAGGGTGTGAAACGCTTGGAACATGCTAACAGGAATTAACAGCTGATTCAAATATCCTATAAACAGGATTTCACCGAGCAAGGTGTGGAGTGAACGTGGGCACAGTCTAGTAAGACTGAAGGCTGAGCAAGAGGTTGCGTCCGCTGCCAGCACTCAACGCCTCCACCCCAGCTTATGGTTCGCATACTGGGCAGGCAATGACCACAGCCAATATTTAGTGTCTGAACAGAGCGCAATTAAAGACTTAGTGAATAGAGAGCATGTACGTTATCACTCTCATCACTGACCAGGCTCCAAACATACTGTCCTTGTTCATAGACGCTGGCTTTGGATAAAGGTCTTCATTTACACTCCTCCCACTGACAGTAGGCAAACAAACTCGCCCTTCGGAAAGACGGGTTCACTTTTCCCAGTCACTAAGGCCTACCTAGTACCGCCTCAGTGTTGCAAAAATTGTATCCTACTGCTGTGAAACTTTGTGGAGGCAAGAAAAAGGAATGGAAATTGCTGTAAAATTACAGCAAGACATTATTATGGTGCCACAAATGTTTTCCTTGCATATACTTTAATTAAGCCTATAAGTACATTTTCCTCAAGTCTTTTAGGCAGATTTACATTTCAGCAGTCTTTACCATATGCCTGGTAATATGTGTATGTGTATGTGTATGGACAAATGTTTATTTTTATTTTAGAATGTTCTGTAACAAAACAATGTTGGTCCACAGTACACTGTCAAAGCATAGAGCATCTTCATCATTTTGCCTTTTCCAGACCTGCTGTTAGACAGGCTTTATTAAGGACACTATTAAGAGCAATTTTAAGCCCAAATTGAAGCGGCATCTCAGAAAGAGCAGTTAACTATTCCGGGGTTGCATGTATTTGCAGTGATTTGATAGCAGAGATAATGTTAGGTTCTTCATTATACTCTCTTTTGCTCCCCTTTTTGAATTAGCATCTCATTCAAAAAAGTGGCTGTTTTCTCAACACAGAGCAATAATCTGACATTTTCCACTACTGTGAACTTCAGCTTCTCTTGTTCCTATCTACTACAGGAGCCAGAAGTTTGCTTGCAAATTCTTAAAACTATTTATGGTACAGGAAGAGATCATATATATGGAAATATTGAGAAAAAATACACAATTTCAAGTTTAATTATAATCAGAAAACAAAGTTTATAATTCAGTTTGCTATTGTCTTACATTAAAGGAGAAAGTCAGATTTTGATAAAGTCTCCTACAGTGGATGGAGATAATCTTAACTAGTGAATTAAAATATTGTGACTATCTCAAGCCTTCTTTATAAGTCAATGAAATTAGCAAGATGAAAAGTTTTAAACAATATAATATGGTCTATTGTTAGTCTTTCTTTTTAATAAGTGCTCATTCTTATTATCTTTTTTTTGAAATGGAGTCTCACTCTGTCGCCCAGGCTGGAGTGCAGTGGCGCGATCTCGGCTCACTGCAACCTCCGCCTCTCGGGTTCAAGTGATTTTCCTGCCTCAGCCTCCCGAGTAGCTGGGATTACAGGCACCCATCACCATGCCTGGCTCATTTTTGTATTTTTAGTAGAGACAAGGTTTCACCATGTTGGCCAGGCTGGTCTTGAACTCCTGAGCTCAGGTGATCCACTCGCCTCGTCCTCCCAAAGTGCTGGGATTATAGGCGTGAGCCACCGCACCCGGCCCTTAATTATTATCTTAAGTTTTAAAGATTATTATTTTTAACCTCTGAAATTCTCCCTCTGGGCCAACACACAAATACTTTTGAGAAGTTATCTGAATTCTACCTGTTAACTTGAGAGCATTACTGATTCAGGAA
Source organism: Homo sapiens (assembly GCF_000001405.40). Lineage (NCBI taxonomy): Eukaryota > Metazoa > Chordata > Mammalia > Primates > Hominidae > Homo > Homo sapiens. Next base: position 157,176,429 of record NC_000006.12, on the reverse strand, counting down.
TGCTTTTCCTATTAAAAAAAGAAAACAAAACAAAAAACCAGGGCAGACTATGAGGGAAAAACACAATGTCGGCTGCCTTCTGAGACTCAAAGCAAATAACACAAAGACATCAAAATGCAGGAGTTGCGCCCCTTCCTGCGAGTTCGGATGCACCCCTCCTAGAAGCGCACTGTCTGCTATACCCATCCTAGAAGCGCTTTCTCTTTCATCACGGGTGCTGCAAAATCGAAACGTAGCTACAGAGAAGGTAAGAGCGAATATCGCCCTTTCCTCCTCTGAAAGGGAAAATGCTGGTTATCCTAGAGCTGCATGTGAATTTTACAAACATTTACTAGAACAACCAACTCTTCAAGCCTTCAGGCTCTATCTGTTTAAACCAGTGAATGGATAATTAATAGCAGCCTCCTTTTGGGGTTTTGACTAGATTGCCAGATTCTGCACAGCTAGGGTCTTCTTGCCTCCAACTTGCCTTCCTGAGCCGTGCTCGTCAATACATCGCCTTACAGAAATGAGCATGTTAATTAAGCCTTCTTGGCAAGTAATTGCATGTTGTTTTTTTTTTTTTAAGATCTTTTGATTCTTTATATGAATGTAAAATAAAGGTTGCTTCAGCACCATTTTTTTTTTCTCTCTAATGGTACAGAATTTCTTTAGTAGGAAACTAAAGGCCCACTTCTAGGGTCAGAAGAACATTGAGGCTTACAAAATTCCCTGATACATCCGTGACATTTTTGTTATAATTTATATATCATACAAAAATCAACACTTAATTTCAAGATTATCAGCAGTCTTGTGCAGAATACAATTGTTCTATCTCAACTGATTCTAACATAGGTACACATTATTAAACTAAAAATTCATTCACATACTAACAACTTGTACGTTTTTATTAATTTCAGACAAATGGGTTAAAAATAAAGCAGGGCTGATGTTACACTAAACCATACCCAAATTGAGTATTTACTTCTTTCAGGTAGGCAGTTTTGAAATAGATAGAACATGCAAAATACAGGTCAGGGGCCAAACTTATCATTCAGTCAATGGCTGCTATTAGTTCCCATATAAATGGAGAAGTAACGCATTTGAAGAATCTTCTATAAGTGCATAATGGATCAGACATTTTTAAAAAGTCACTGTGTGAAGGAGTTTGGACCCAGTTAACACACTCGCATGCTTTGTATAGAGGTGCTTCTTTATAACAGCTTTTTCATTACCAGAAATCAACTTCTTTGATGCACGCAAACTTTATTCATTTTGTCACTAATATTATTATTTATAAAGAAAACCCTTTCATGGATAAATAATGAAGAAAAAGTCTTACAAAACAAATAAACAAGCAAGCATTCAAGTAGAATTAATTAATTATCAAAAAACCCCAAAAAAACAAAAAACAAAAAAAACAAAAAAAAACCAGAGCCACTTACAGGGCTTGATGGAGTCTTTGGCCAGCCTGGGCTGCTAATGCTATCACTTTCATCTCCATGAAATGAGGAGATGCTAGCAGAGCTGGGGGACATTGGGGAAGGGACTGGCAGGTTGCCTGGGGTTGGGGGCTGAGAAATACCCTGAGAGCTGTAGCTATCCTGTGGTAGAGGAATAAAAAAAAAAAAAATGACAAAGGTAGGGCAAACTTTATTTAAAATAACAAAAAGTACATCCACTTTAACAAACTAATTTTTTTATATATATTATATATATATATATATATATAAAGACATGTACAAACAAACACACAAAACCACACATAGATAAAGGTATTAAAACAACATTCTTAATTAGTATAATTGGGTAAGTCTGCTGGATGCTGGAGAAGGCCAGTACGCCACCATGCTTACTTCAAGCTTACATGGAATGCTAAGCATGGGTTACCCCTTATGAAAGAAAGAAAAAAAAAAAGCTGTTCACCTTATTTATCAAATAAGGCAGGAAAGCAAAATATTAAGTATGTTGTTGTTGCTGAGGCGGCCAAAACAGGAAGCTATAAACTGAAGGCAGAGAAAATGGCTGCAAGTACCGAAACCAGGCAGGACCCCTACTTCTCCCCACCCCGAAGCATTTTTCTTAGGTGGGTCTTGTCCCTCCACCCCTCTCCCCCAACCGTGAGTTAATGCCATAAGAACTAGTAACTTTCAGATCCACACCATGAAGGGGCTGGGGAAAGAAAAGAAGACTACAAACATGTTGCACAAAATGAAGGCATGCAGAGGAGACCAAATGAAAAAAAAGTGTCGGCCAACACCAGTGAAGAGAGAACGACATGGCAGCTTTTTGCTAGGCAGACCTCACACCGCGTGCAGAGGCGAAGGAAGTACCTTTGACTTGCTCTCGGGCTGTGGAGTGCCTTCTTCTTTGCCGTCTGCTTTGAGAGGCAGGGGCAGTTTGGATTCACCAGGAGACATCATATCTGCAAGACCCACAGATGCTAATCGAAAACAGGAGAAAGAGTTTAGGATTATATGTGTGATTCGTCAGACTGTACTCCTGCCAACACAAGTTACAGAGTGAAGCAGGAGGCCCTTGCATTTCCCTTGAAGGAAGAAAAGAAAAAAGAAATTGTAATGGGGAGCATATTAATTTCTGAAATGCAAACAGCACCGCATTCTGGCAAAATCCTTTTTTATCTAAAAAAAAGGGCAGTCATTCTGTGTGCTTAAGACCCAAACCTATGAAGGTCAACTTATATCAATATTATTTTTTCAAAATTATTATACCTTCAAAAGAGTAGGCAACAAGTGGAAATAAGGCAAATGTTTAAATTACTAATCAGGAGTTGGAGGCAAATACTGGGTGTGCGTATTTTCTACCTAGGTCCTAGAGGATTTAGTGCCTTCTCAATTTCATAAGTGCAAATAATCTATAGTTTGCAAAATTATTTGACATTTCACAGTGTTTCTTTTGAAAACCTTATCTATTGCACGTAGTCTAGTCAACAATAAGGGAAGACAATCACAGCAGATGGCTTCAAAAACAATATAATTAAAAATAAATTTTGGAAGGAAAGGATTTCTGATTACTTTGCAGTTGTGCTGGGATCCTTTCAGTCTGTCTGAGAGCCTGTGGTCATCAACCCTTACAGCAGCTCAATGCCCAGGTCAGAGGCCCACAGCAGCTCCAGAGTCAACACCACATTTTCTAGCACTAGGCTCAGAAATCCAATCAATTCTATTTAGGCTTTAGCATCAAAGGTTCACCATAGAACAACTGATTTCTCCACATTCATTGCAGATACAGCAGACATTTTCAGGTTAAAAATATGGGTTTAGATTTCTTTTTAGTGGAAGAACAAGACTAGAGTAAGGAATCAGTGTAGCTATCCAGGGAATAACAGCTGAATTTCTACAGAACCCCACTGTGAAAACCATCTGCGCAACACTGGGCTGCAGGGGCTGCGAGTGAGGCACCAACCAGATGTGAAGAGTCAGAGTGAGGAAGAGAGGGAAGGAGAGAGACGGGAGAGAATGATGAGCCTTATACATGAGTGGGAAGAACCAGAAACCAGGCCTATTTCAAATGAAAATAAACCTGAGGTTTGATGAACAGGGCCCATTCTACATTCTGCAAATGAAAGTGCTGGCTCAACCAAGGCGGGACACATGTAGCGTTATGTGCCAAGAAAAAAAAAAAAAGCTTTAAAAAAGGCTCCGCAGATTGCCCACTACAAAATGATTATTGCACATATTCATGTATTACTATGTTTTAGAAAATAATTAGTTTTAATTACAGCAGTGAGAGAGTGAGCAGGCTCTGGTGAATTAGCTGGCAAGCTTTGTGGTGCTAATTTGCTAATATCGTTAGCATCACTGCAGGTTGAGACCACAGGTCCTGCCAAAAAAGCCTGCCCTGCCACGTGCCCATGAGTTTACATCAGCACACTCAACAATACACTTTGAAATCCCGTCTTTTCCACGGGCGCATTGGCTTGTTTTTCAAAGCCCATTTGCAGCCCAGTCAGTCCTTGAAGTCATCACAACACACACAAATCATAATTGGGATGTTTTTCTTTTTTTCAAATTACTTTCAATACTTAGACTTTAAGAACTGGAACAAAAAGCTTTTTCAAGTGATGCAGCTGCAGAGAAAAATCTATTGGGATCAGCTAAAAATGCTGTTATTTTTGTGAATGTGTGAAACCTCAAGCAGCTGAGAGATATTACACCGCGAAGACCGCCTTGTTCAAAGCAGTGGACTGGACTGCTTCCACGCAGTTTTGTCTCTGGGGTCTAACGAGATATGAATTAGTAAACCTGTACATTAAAAAACACCCTTTTCAGAAGAATAGAAGGATAAAAGAGCAGGATGAGTGCGAAAAGAGGGGCTTATGTATGCGAGTCCACATGTCCTGGCTAGTTGATTCAGAGCGGGTTCAAAGGAATGACAGCCAAAACAATTCCAGAGAAAGTGGTAAAGTCATGGGCACATGGCTTCTGTGGCATCGAGCTTCTCCAATGGTTTTAAGTGGTAGTTTTGTCAGTATTTACAATAAATTATGTATGAATATTATTTTGAAGGCAGGAATAGTAAGATTCTATTTTACGCATTAAATGTGCTAGCGTACACAAACGCAACTTGTAAGCATACAGAACTAGGCCAATATGTATTATGGAAATTACTGACAATTTACACTGATTTGAAAATCAGACTTACATGAATATAAACACATTGTTGGTCTGAAATTCCCCAAATTTCTTCATTCTCTATTATATATTTTAAAACAGGCATTTTGGGTGTGCAAATAGAAAAATTATCAAAAGTGGCACTGTTCTATTATTTTGAGAGATAAATAAGGATAGAATTTAGAGTAATAAATGGTTCTATTTAATATTTCTACCTTATAAAATGTATGTTTTATTTTACTAAATGGATCAGAAGCTCTTTCCTTACTGTGGTTTTTACTATTCTTTTTATTTAAATGCTTATTTTTGACTTCTTACCAGAATTCTCAAGGAATCACTGAAACGAGCCATATGCCTCCCAAGGCAATGGGACTCCAGGGGCACTATTTCTTCTCCTTTCCCAGAAGAGAAGGACCACGACTATTACAAGGACGTGTTAAATCAAGGCACTGTTCCTTCTCCTATTGACACGAGTAATCCAGTATGTAAAGTTCAGACATAAAAAGGGGCAGTAAAGAATCTGTAACTGCAGAAAGTGCTGCCTGAGCACTGTAAATACTTTTCAAGCACCAGCCTCTGGCTTTACCATTGAAATTTAAGAACTAGAACGATTTCTTAAAGTAAGTGTGGGTCAAGGTCCTAAGGCAGCTATTCCACACTGGATTTAATATATTCAAAAGGAACGTAAAGAACACATGACATGAGTCAAACCGAACTTCAACACTCATGCCTGCTTTCTTCCTCTTCCTTTACTCAGTCTCCTTACAAGTCTGCAAAATCATTTCCAGAAGATGGTGAAATAGGTCAGAAATGCACAGTTCTTTTCATTTCATGGTAATATACCAGACTGCAAAATATTTGATTTCTTGTTTTTGAAAACACAGAGGGCTGATCTATGTACATCCGCGGATGTTCATGACTATGTTTACATGTGCCAAGACAGAAAGTCCACTGTGAAGGTAACACACACAGGATCTAAGAACGGCTCGGGAGACGCACTGCTCTCATTGGATACGCAAGGCCCTGACAGCCCTGACCGGGAGGACCCTCCATGGCACAGAGTGGGGCCAGCGAGTACCCTGGAGGCCCTGCATACCCCATCATTGCCATCAGCGCCCCCTCCCCACTGTGGCCACCCCCAGGACACTGGCCATGCTGGGTGGCTTTCCAAGGAAACCAGCTCCCCCAGCCACCTACAGAGTCTGGAGCCATCCACATACTTTGGCATAATCTCAGGATCTATTTTCCCCCAGTTTAAGAGATTTGGTTTTCATAACTTATCAAAACCCTTTTATCAAGTCCTTTGTATATGGTGGGAGGGCAGCAATTCACTTGAAATCATTACCTTAGAGCAAGCATGAAAGTGAGCACCCCAGCAACCTCTACAAACAACCCGGACAACCAGCCCCTCGCAATGAGGCTGAAGACCCAAACCTTCCTTTGTGAGAGACCCTGAAGTCCCAAGACAGAAAACTGTGATCCAGCTGGAAGATTGATATTCTAGGAGTAGTTTTGTGAATCTTTTCTTTTTTTCAATTTCAAAACAGCAAATCATCTGGTAAACAGCTAATGCCCCACAAAGCTGGCAGCAGATCTGCCAGGAGACTGTTGAGCAAAATACCTCCACATTGGCGCTTCTCAAACTTGAGCTTGCATGCATGAAAACTACCTGCGGAAGTGGTCAGGGATGCGGATTCCTGGACCCACCTCAAGAATTCTGAAGGGAGCCCCAGAATCGGTAGTTTTAACAAGCACTGCAGGAAGTCCAGAGGTAGGAGGTTCTCAGTTTTTGTGGTAGTGTGATTGCCTTTTTCTTCGTAAAGGCCTGCTGGAGCTGGGATACCCTGTACTGGCAGGGCATTAACGGGACACTTCATGTTTGGGACTGAGTGGTGCTAGGTTAGCAGAAGGACTCACTTCTGGAATGTGCCCAGGGCTCTCTGTGAGAAAGCCTGGTTCCAGCAGCACATATGGCCGCTCCTGTGCTATTTATAGGTGGCAGTAGGAGAAATGCCCTACATTTTGTAGAGTAGCGTCTGGTGAGGCAAACTTAGAACCACAGATGGGAGATAAAGTTTTTGGAATTTAGATGTCCACTTTAAGATGACGGTTTATATGCAGACAAGTGCAAATGACTAATGAATATTATAAAATTCAACACAAATAAGTAAAACCTAACCAATCACACATGTATTGTATTACAGTGATTTGTAATTTTGTCCACAGTAATACATAATTCTAACCTTTTAATCTAAATAATTGAAACAAAACAAAACCAAAAAAGCTCTTTAGAAGGAAAAATTCCCACTGCTTACCATCCTCCTTCCCTTGGCATTTTAAGTGAAGAAATAGTTGTCACATTTATACTCACACTGACTCCATTTAAATAATTACTTGCTCACTGAAGCCTGTAACAATTTGTCACTACACAGGAGGATTTTTTTTTGGCCCCGTACACTGTCTACAACACAGTTGTTTGAACTCGGTGAAGAGAATTGCTGGAATGCTGGTTGCACTGGCTGCTGAGGTTCAGAAAATTCCACCACCAGACCTGGCCATCATTTGTGCTGTCCTCGCTTTCTCCAAAAGTATATTTTGATGGAGAAATGCTTTGCTGTTATCACTGGTAATTTATCTCCATGGGCCCAAACCAAGGAGACTGGAGTGATGGTGATCCCACCATTTCTGGCCCTTCTCTTGTGCAGTCAGGTAGACGCATCCCAACGCTCACAGGGGCTGTGCTGTAACGCTCTGCGTCACTCCTGTCTCTCTGAGAGATCAGAACGCAGTAACAGCAGATTCACGTGTACCTGCTGCTAGGTGCACAGCCAATGTGAAATGGCCAGTCCTCCTCTGTTATGCATTTCACTTAATCAAGGTGGGATAAAATCAGATCAACGTGTAGAGGAAAACTGGATAAATGTTTAAATTATTAAAAATTCAATGTTTCAAAATGTACAATGCAGTAAAAAAATACACTACCACCCCATACAAAAGATCGTGAGGATGGACGGCCTTTCACTGAACAGATTTCCTCTGTACGGAATAACGAATAGCTGAATTATCTGAATAATAAGAATAGAAAGAAACCCTCTCTGTGAATCTCCATTAAGCTGGCTATTCCTTAGGAATACATAAATCTTCTGAGGCAGGGCACTGGGCCATCTGCTTGTTGTTGGTTGTTTCTGTGGCTCTGGGGTCCAAAGGAAGACGGGGAAAATGAGCGCTGCTGATATTAGGTGAAAACTGATTGTGTGGTTTCAATGCTCTCAAGTAATTTTATTCCAGCAAGTCAGACAAAACATAGTATGTCACAACCCAATATTCTGTTACCTGGGCCAGCACTGGTTAGGGAAATTAGGGAAAGAAGAGGCTTCCAGCTAACAGGCTGTTTGCAAGCTTTTCACTTTCATCTCGAATGTAAAACATCCACCAAACTGTGATGGAGAAGCACTCAACGCAGCATCAGGAAGGGCTATTTTATTTATTTAAAAACCTTCATTTTTACCACTAGTTTCTATGTGTTCCTCTTTCATAAATCTTTCAAGAGAAATTATCATGGAATGTCACCCTTCAATTAGGTCCTAGAAATCAACGACGCAGAAGCTCAGACAGGAGGCGAGCCCAGCCTCTCACTGGCTGTTCCGCCGGACACAGGGACATGAACTTTCAAAGACAGAGAGGCCAGAAAGGAGGTGGAAGGCAGAAGAAATGAAAAAATGTAATCAGAAAGAACCAAGGATCTGGCTGTCCCATGCATTCCTAACGCATCACGGGGCATCACGGGATACACACTGGCTAAGCCACGCCCTGCAGTCTCTGAAGGAGGGAATCCTCCCGTGAGATCCATTTTAACATGTGACAGAGAGTAACAGGTCGCTGGAAATACACATCACTTTATGTAAAAAGTGGTACTCATTGTCTTTAGGTAGTTACGGAACCTGAGGAGGGGGTTCAAGGGTCTTGAAGAGTCTAAGATCATGGGAGATATGCACAGTCTCAGACACTCTTGATATTTTCCACACATTGGCTACTCATCCACTGCAATCATCAGGCATGACTTTTAAGAACGCTACTGTGGAGATTATAAAATGGGTTAAAATAACTAAACATCATGAAACATTTAAAACAGTTTCCCAATAGAGACAATCTGCACAGAGCATTTATGAAGCAGCTACTTCCGAGCATACATTTAGAGGTGTTTCCCTAAATGTAAAAAGTACTTCAAACCCCCCTTGCTCTGCCCTTCCAGCGATTTCCCCTGAAATGTGAATTCGAAATGTTTGTCTCCACCACTACCAAATGGAGAGAATTTGAGGATCTTCCAATACTAATAATTCCCAAAGAGAAAGAGAACTTAGTGTGCATATTTAACAATCTCCAATAATACTTGAAATATGTCCACTTGTTATACAAACACAGATTGAATAAAAATAATTTACATAAAATATAATGTAATTCTCAAGTCTTAAATAGATGGAGCAAGTTTCTGAGAAGCAGAAAAGTAGTATGATTCCCACTTTCGCCAACTGATCCACCTTCTCGGGCCGTTTAGGCAGATTCACTGGTGGAGCCTAAGAGGAGGAGAGGGGAGAGAGAGGGGCTCAGGAGCGCAGAGCTGCCAAGGTTACCTGCCGAGCTGTTCACCATGGCGGGCGCCATGCTGTAGGGCGGCGCCTGCGTGTTCATCAGGCTAGAGCTGTTGTTCATGGGCTGGCTGTAGGGAGAGCTGGAAGCCATAAGTCCACTCTGGTTCATGCCGGGGAAACTGCCTTGCCTACAGGAAGAGAAAGCACAGCACACATATACCGACCATGCACATTAGCAGTGGTTTGCCCTGGCAGTCATTTCTACTAATGCATTTATGTAAGGGGTGGGGCTATAACTTTTCATGTTTGTGTAAAACAGATTATTTCCTGGAGAGAAAGGCTGAATTCTATTGCTAGGTAACTCTTTAATACACCCCTTTACAATTCCAAATATTACAAGTTCTGCAAGTAAATTACACATTTTTAATCATGTCAAGTGTTCCAGGTTATTATTTATATAGAGGAATATAAGCAAGAAAGGGGGAACTTGAAATAAGAACAGGAATTACAAAAGCAAGCAAAATTAACTTCTGACTATTAACACTACTTAGTAACCTCACATAAAAACCCAAAGGTTAAGAAATGAAAAACAAATGGGCAGTGTGGGAATGTTTTTTAAAAAAACTTCTTTGACCTAAATTTTCTGATATAATGAATATGGGAGAAAGCACTTCCAAAACTCTCCCCGACCCTACTCTTTAACTTTGGTAATTAGGTTCTATTAAAAACATACCAATTTCCCTACATTAAAATGCCACAGTAGACATCAGACTTCCACTTCTTGTTGGTTGGGCTTTTTACGTTACAGAGGAGGATGGGCACTTAGATCAGCTGCACGTGTCCCTAGCATGCAGTCGCCCGTCCCCAGGGTGGTGCAGACCTACAAGGCGGTCTTGGTGACTTAGTCTTGTTAGTTTTGTCTTACGCCCTGTCAGACTTCTCTTCACTCTTGCAAAGAGGTCAAGAGTATTCTCTGATTTGAAGCAGATAACTGTCACACAATGTCAATTCTCTGACTGTTAGTAACGAGATGGGGGAGAGATTTTAACTGCACAGTGGTGTAGAGATTGCCCTAAAAACAGAAATGATAGCAAGGTGGCAAAAGCGTCAAAAGAGTCCACCATTGTAGTCAAGCTCTTCTTACGTAAAGAGCATACCTTTAAAAAATTTTTCAAAGTTTTGGCTACTCATGTTTCATCTTAGGAGTACAAGCTAGTAGAGGGGTACAAATCCAAAGACACCCTGCCTATCTGTTCCAAATTAATTACAACCCCCTCCACCACCATTAAGCTATCACTTGGTATAATAGTTGGCATTTTAAAATGAGATCCTTTAAAAGATTAACATAAATCTTATTTTTTTATTTTTATGTTTTTTTGAGACAGGGTCTCATTCTGTCGCCCAGGCTGAAGTGCAGTGGCGCAGTCTTGGCTCACTGCAACCTCTGCTTTCCCAGGCTCAAGCGACTCTCCCGCCTCACTCTCCCAAATAGCTGGAACTACAGGTGTGAGCCAACAGCATCCAGCTAATTTTTGTATTTTTGTAGAGACGGGGTTTTGCCATGTTGCCCAGGCCAGTCTCGAACTCCTAAGCTCAAAGCGATATGCCCACCCAAAGTGCTGGGATTACAGGTGTGAGCCACCATGTCTGGTCCATAAATCATTTTTTTTTTTAAATATACTGTTCCTTTTGTTTACCTATTTTCAGCGGACTCAACTGAAAAACCTCTGTACAAAAAGTTCAAACGTGGACCATCTGCAAAATCAAGCTATCAAAGCCATAACTGGTCTACTTTAAATATTAGACAAACTAGAGAAATTCTGTACAATCTAATGTACCATGATGGCTTGGAAAGAACACTGTTAGAAGCTGAAAGATTCTTAGGTATGAGGGTGGCTCAGGGAGAAATGGGCATTACTTTAGCCTGCAATTCTTAGCTTCCTGACAGTCCACTTTGAATAACTGCAGACTGCTAAATCAGAATTAGAATACCCCTTGGAGTTCATTAAGAACAGATCTGAGATCATCCAACAGCTTCTGATTAACCTCTAGGTCATCACATACTCATGCACACAATTGCACAGTAGCTATAAACACATCCCTATATGGTTCAGGGCTTTACATCATCTTGCAGAGTGTTGGCATTAACTCAAGTACCTTAGAAGTATCCCTTCTGAGGTGTTCTTCAAACAAGGGACAATTGAGCATTTAGGTAACTGCTTCAAAAGTGGCGCCTGATGGGACTGCTCTCAGTGTCTTAGCAGACAATCACTGAAGAGCATCTTCACTTGTGGACGGTTATGTTTTCTGGAAGGCTACTTCCATGTCAGTGACTGCCTCCAAGTCACAGCCAATTTTGGCCCATTCTCCAAGATGCATTTTAGTGGCCACTGCTCTGTGATGGCTGTCCTTGTCATCCTTCCTGAAAGTAAGCCCTGCCTCTCCACTTAGCTTCATCTATGCCTTTTGTAGCACTGACCTCTTTCTTTTGTATGTTAAAATAATTTACGCATGTCTTGGTTCTTCTAGGTATGGAAGCCTCCTGAGAGGAGGATCTGGGCCTAATTAATCCCTTGCACATGAGAATTACTAAAAAAAAGAAAAAAAATTGTTAAAGGGATGAATTACTACAGAACATTTTTATTCTTGAAAAAAGGCATTACAAAGATGGTCGCCTTTTCAAGCTTCCATTAAATTCCGTCTCATATATAGTGTAACTAACATGTATGAAACTAATGGTTCCTTGAGACACTTGTTTATACTAAGGTAAAAAAGAGAATCAGAATAGAAAATCCACCAGGCAAATGACTGAATGAAGTAATCATCCAACCCTCATCTAGGATTTCTCCCCCAGGACAGCACTGTCCATCCGTGTCCATCTTTAATCACCAGAAGATGATGAAGGCACACACTACAGGTTTTAAGAAATACCTTTAAACTAACAATGAGGTCCATGCCTTGGATGTCAGTTGCTGGTTACAATGGTCCTTAATTAAAGCACATCTGTAGTTTTAAAAGTTTGGTTAAAAAGCCAGGGGTCTTGACTCTGTCACTGGAGCTCTGGGAGCTCTGGTCCTTTGGATTTCAGTTTTTTACACCAGAACAGGGAGGGGCTGGTAATGATAGTGACAGTAATTTATTTAGTATTTACTGCATGCCTGGTGCACATTCTAGGCATACACATTTAATGTTTTAGATTCCTGGAGGAAGGTAGGTGGAATTATGCTCATATATTAATAAAGGCAATAAAGATCAGAAAGGTTAAGTAACTTGCCTAAAGTCACACAGCTAGTAAGTAGCAGAAATAGAATTCCCCAAACCTACTATCAGTGCGGTATACTACACTTCTTTCTCTATGGGACTCTAACACTGCTAACACTCAGTGAGACCAAGTGCCTGGCTCCTGGCAGCCTGCTGCACCATGCCTTTCCATCTGTCTGGTGTATGGCCCTGCGGTTGTACAAAGATGACAAACCAGAGGGTGTAAACTCTCCGGGAGTCCTGGAATACAGGCTTCAGGGAGCTGGCCACAGTGAGGGGTAGTGGGAGACATGAATACAACAGCTCCCTGGACACCTGCTGCAGGCCTACTGGGCCTCCAGGGCAGGAAGTGAGTCCTCCCAGGAGCACAGGCCACACGTGGCCAGGGCAGAGCAGTGGGTGCCTGTCTGGGTGGGGAGAGCCAGTCTTTCACCATTGCAGAGGAAATCCTATTTGCTCTTGCTTGAGACACTACTGCCAAGAGTCTTGGTAATTTTGAACAAGCAACATGGGCCTGATACCAAAAGAAGGCTCGCACTGCACGCCACTGATTTTGGTTAGTGGAGACAGCGGGCTGTGGATGGACTCCTAAGATGGCTGCCGCCCTAACTAACCCAGCACTCCTGCTCAGCGTGGTGTTGCTAACCTAGGAGGAGTCTGTGGCTCACAACAAAAAGCTCCTTGTTTGGTGGGGCTGAAAATACAATGCCCGAGACCACAGCGACCTGGGTTTCGAGGCGACCTCAGCAGCAGCTGGGTCCTTTCCAGAGCAGCGCTCCCTGGCTGCTGAGCCCCTTCTGACCAACACAACATTTGGACGGCTCCAAATGAATTAGGAGTGTTAAGAAGTAAATCAGTTGCTTTTTTGAAAAGCAACAAAACAAAAACAGGCAAAAACATGAATTGAAACGAGCAGAATGTTTCCAATGTGAAACCCTACAGAAACCTAAGCTGTACCCGGAAAAGCAAAGCCTCCCCCCAGACCCTTGGGCTCTGGCTTCCAGGGGGCCTGCGGGCTTCATGTCTGTTACAAAGGACAGCTGTCCTGACTCTGCAGATGCCGAGTCCATGGCTGTAGAAATGACTGCCTAGGAACATCTCAGGGGGGTAAGGAGACAAACATTTACAATAATTCGGTAGATGCACACTGTGGGGGTGACCCTGGTTGGGTGGTGTTGACCCCAGACCCCAGGATGCCGACACTGCGCTCGCCTGGGCCAGGGTTAGACCACAGCACCGCTCCCTCCTCCTCTTAAATGGCAATGTTCAAATTGGGGAGTTATTACTTAAACATGCTGACCTGCGGAATAACCAGAAGAACTTTATTTAAATCTGGTTGGGACCAGAGGTATTTAAGAACTGTCATTCTATAAGCAAAGCCAGGTTATTACAGGGAGAATAATTGAGAAAGCAGGACCTGTGAGTTTTCCCTACAGCACTCCTCATTCCTGCCCACGGGCTGCACACATACATACCCCAACAACTTTTTTACTTTTTCCTTTTATTCACTTTGGAGATTTCTCAAACATTACATATTCATATCCCAACAAAGGGCTGTCTTTGGGGAAAAAAGCCCAAAGCAAACACCAGTTTTCAAGCGACTATTTCCAATGGTTCAGTGTGAAAACAGAAAGAGGAATATCACTTCCCACTACAGTTTGCTTTCAGCAGTTAAAAATATTAGTATGAAATTTCATGCAGTACCCACATCTTTCTAAATATCTGGTTTTAAAGTCAACTACATTAAAATTTAAAATAATTTTGATGCTTTAGAGAAGAATATTTAGGCCTTATCATCTTAGCAATCAACACTGTATTTTCTCAACAGTGACAGACGGTGAAGTGTGTGGTTATCTTTAAAATGAATGGGTTTCTGATACAGTTCTTTGGAGAAGGGTAGGGACAGACAGAAGAAATGGAGACCCTGTGAGTGAAGCCACTTTAAAGTCCCATCCCAGTGGCAGACACGGGGGAAGCTCCAGCACATCCACTGCAAATACCACCCTTGAGTTATGTTCGGAATGAGCATCACGCAGTGCACACTTTATTGGGAAAATGAGTGCGAGTGCCAGGTGTACATAACTTTCTCTATACGGACTGTCACTGTAGATGTAGCTGGGTTATGAAGCCAGAAAAGACTGCTTACTAACAACATAAACTAGGCTAACACTAAAACTTGGGGCACTTTATCACTTAAACCCAAGAGTCATCAGAACCAGTACTCAAAACCTTGAAATGCTCCAATTCCAGCAGTTTATTTCTAAATGTGTTACTTTATTCCTCTGGAGAGATCCAATTGCATACATTAACATTACACAGGATGCCCTATAAAAAATGTTTTATAAACACAAACTCTTCTCACACATGTATCTAGCATCACTGGTGAAACAGATTTTCAACCCGAATTACATGGTGACTCTTCCAAAGCAGTACTGAGAAGGAGAGACTCAGTCGAGGTTATTTTAAATTTAATATTTTAAGAGGGAAAACTACTATGTGCCCCCCCGCCAAAATATATATATATATATATATATACACACACACAATCAAAACAGAAAATAAGACCGTCAAGCCCTGGTCAATTTTTGGTGTGGCTAATCCACCAGCGTGCCTGCAACAACAGCTGCATTAGCAATTCTGGTGGCAAAATAATGTAATTTCAACAAGCCAGTGGCTCTGGCTAGGAATCAATCCTGTGGCGGTAAAGTGGCATTTGTCTCATTAGACAAAAGACATAGAATAGAAGTGCCTTTATTTAAAAATGTAGATTCGTGTAAAAGTATATAACCATATGCTACTAAAAAAAATAGATTCTACCCCTTTTGCTCAGGGAGACATGCTATAAGTAATTACAATTAACCAGAAATACCTACTGCTTTGTTGACAGTTATAATCACTTGTCCAAGATGAGTATTTTAAGATAAGTATGGGAGAGGAATGAGCACAACAGCGGGCCAAGACTAAAAACAAACACAACCAAAGTCAAACAACCAGGGCAGCGAGTGCGAAGTTGCGACCACATGCGTGGCTTGGAGAGGTCTGTGTGTTATGTGAGCTCACAGGAAGGCGAGCACAGGAAAAGGTCCCAAGGAAGGGATGACGTCCCCTCCATCTCTCAGATCTGAGGGATCAATCCACTGGAATTAACCAGGTAAGGAGAAGAGAAAAGAGAAACAGCAAATTCAAGGGCCCTGGGGCATCCAGGAGGCCCTCTCCAGGAGAAAATGCGGTAGAGCAAAATAAGAAGCGAGAGTGGTGCGGGGCCAGGCTTATGGTTCTCTGGGTTTGGTCTTTATCCTAAGAGAAACAGGAAGACACTTGGGGTTTTTAAGCAGGAGCAATGGCATTAAAATATGTTTATTTTAAAGACATTGTTCTCTGGCCATGCTGGGAAGAACACATCGGAGGCAAGAAGAACGAATGTGGGGCTGACCGTTACGAGGCTGTTACCACAACCAAGGAAGAAATGATGGTGCCCTGGAACAGGTGGTGGAGCACAAGAGAGAGTTGAGCAATATCGTGGAGGTGAAACGGACAGGATTTGGTGATGAATTAGGTCCTCTGGGGAAAAGAAAAGTTGTGCCTAGCTGTCTCCTAGGTGTCCAGCTTGTGGGATGGGCAGATAATGGAGCAGTCACTGAAATAAAGAACATCAGGGGAAAGCGTGGGCTTAGTTTTGGACATGTGGACAGGGTTTGGCTTTGGACAGGCCTCTGAGCACCTAGCGTCACACAGGC
The DNA here is from genome assembly GCF_000001405.40 of Homo sapiens. Classification (NCBI taxonomy): domain Eukaryota; kingdom Metazoa; phylum Chordata; class Mammalia; order Primates; family Hominidae; genus Homo; species Homo sapiens. Next base: position 157,160,229 of record NC_000006.12, on the reverse strand, counting down.
AGGTGGACTCTCAGGTCAGGAAGCAGAGGTTTGGGGTCATCTTTCCTCCCTATGCAGGAACCCTCTATATAAGACTTTGTGAGTCTTGTCTAAGTCTTCCTCCACTGGCGAATGTGACCTGTTTTCGAGGCAGCCTGCTCACTCAAAGAAAGCTTCCATGTATTCAGTGCTAGCAGACAAGCTGGAGCAGCTACCAGTTATCTTCCAGCTCCCTGTTAATAACTCCCCAAAACCTTTGGTAGCTGATATGTTTACATTTTATTTTCTTCCTTTAAGAATGGGCAAAGAAGAATATTGTTTTGCGACAGCTTTATGAAAGAGAACTTCTAAGTAAAGGAACAGTAGTAACTTTGTCACCATACTCTCAAGAATAATATTTTCAGTGGCTATGCCTTAGCTCTTCAGAATAGAACTTCTCCCTGGCACGTCTTTGCCTGGTCCTTTAAAATGTGGCACTGCCCACAGGGCCTCTTGTTTTCAAAGCATTTCTCCTGATTGTCTCCACATTTCTCCAAAGAGCTGTATTTTTCACTCCTGCATCTTGGTGAAGCTCTTCTTGCTAAGCACTGAGGAATACTGCATATTCCAGTCTGGATTTCTTAAAAGCCTCTAACATCAGAAACGTTTTTCCCTTTTGTTCATACTTCACACAGACTTCTCAGAAGGTTCCGACCTGTTACCAGCTCTGCTCCTGGCACTCCCTGCTGAAATGGCACCTGTTGTGCAATTTCAAGATTCAGCTCTTCCTTTTTGCTTCAATGCAGGTAACCAGCTTTAGTTGTTCCTAAAGCAGCTCACTGATCTTCACCTTTTCTCTCAAAGCAACCAGGAGAACAAATAGAGCTCAGGGGTTCTGAGGCGAGAGGCCTCCTTGTCGGGGTGTGAAGAAAATGCAAACATGGTGTTGTCTGGTTGCTTGAATTTTAGCAACTGATAACTAAGGAAGTTCTCTTCATCCTCAAAGTTGATTTTGGTTTGTTAAGCCCATTGTTCTGCTACTACGGACTCTTTCCTGGCAACCATACAAAAATGAACCTCAATACTGTGAAGGTATTTAGTTCAGAGATTCTGATTTCAGCTTTTCCCTGCTGATCCCCAGCACATGGGCTGCCTCAAGCGCACAGTGTGGATTAGAGCCACAGGGGGGTAGCAGTGGGTCCTAAATCCTGTCTTTTCCCTGCAATGGATGACTCTCCAGAACTTTGGGGGTTTGGTATCATGTCGCATCCCACTGACCTCTGAGAAGATGTAAATGGCACAGTTTCCTGGTCTGGTGAAGCTAGATCCATACAGCATGAAAGAAACATTAGCTGCCATGGATGTCACCCACAGAGAGAAAGTGTCACCTCTATTGCATTCTACTTAAGGATCTTTACTTAAAAAGTTTATCTTGAGATCATAGTACCATTAAGAAAAGATCTCTGTTATTTCCAAGGAGGGCTATTACTTCTCAGTGCTAGGAATAGCCACATCCTTTATTCCAGGACATCCCTTCCAAGGTCACAAGGTATAAAGGGGAGTGAACTGCTAATCCCAAAGTGGCTTAGCTGCCGAGGAGCCACAGAAGCAGAGTGGAGGGAGCAGGTCTCTTAGAGGTCTGGAGCCACACAGCCTCAGACACAGAGAGCTTATCAGCCCAGCAATACTCAGAGTAGGTAACAATCCCTGATGGACGAACCTGAGTTTTAGCAGTGCGAGGGGGAAGCACACATCTATCTTACATGCGTTCTATCTAACTCTCATGCCTTAATGGGCTTGTCAGTGGGCTTAAGAAAATTAATCTGGGTCCTGAGTTCTCCATCCTATATCACTGTGTTGCAGCAATATTGTGTAGAAACCTCTAATAAAAAATGCACTTGTCCAGGAAACAGAAAAACAGTAATTTCTGATCTTTAAAAAATCCTCCTAAAAATTCTTGGAGATTTCCTGAGTTAACGGTGGCCTGGGCCACAAAGTGACTTAGTTTGGTAAAGCCAAACATTGTTCAGTTAGGGTTAAAATTTAGGCAAGGCTTGCAAGCTGAGCAAAGCTATAGTTCTTTATGTCCTCACCAGCCACTCTGTGCAGGACAGGATTCAGACAGGTTCTTACCTGGCAGGAATTTTAACAATCAAAAGTAATCCAGTATGAGTTCACTTTTAAAACAAGGGCCACAATCTTACAGGTTTCTGTCTGTGCATTTTTTGTTATTATTATTATTTTTTAAGAGACAGGGTCTTACTGTTTTACTCCAGGCCAGAGTGCACTGGCACGATCCTCGCTCACCACAACCTTGAACTTCTGGGCTCAAGTGATCCTCCCACCTCAGCCTCCTGAGTACCTGGAACTAGAGGTGTGCGCTACCATGCCTAGCTCACTGTTTTTCACTTTCTGTAAAGACTGGCTCACTACGTTGCCCAGGCTGCTTGTGAACTCCTGGCCTCAAGCAATTCTCCTACCTTGGCAGCCCAAAGTACTGGGATTACGGGCGTGAGCCACTGTGCCCGGCCTGTTTGGTTTTTTAAATCTATATAATGGCAGAAATGGAGTTCAAAATAAGAATGAAGACCAAGATTAAGAGGAATCTTAGCATCTTAGTGAGTTGCTTCTCATACTCCTTACTGCTACTAAGATGCCCTGTGACCCACGACACTTTCCAAACCCCAAGCTGCAATATACTAAGACATAGTCATAGCCTCTTCACCACTTACAAACTTCCTGCTGCCTTCAGCCCAAAACACTGTTGAGGTTATCAGATTTCAGGGCGGTGAAAAATTCACCACCTGCTGGTCATCAGCCTGACACCTGGCAGGTTGGCATCACTGGCCATTGCCACTCCTGTTGCACACACGTAATTCCAAAGATCCCTGCCTTTCGTAACTCAGAACCGTGGGGGTTGCTGGGCTGGGCTGCTAATGACGCCTAGTGATGGGTGCGCTTTAATGCTGGTTCTCGCTGTGACGATCCCAGGACATCTGGTGTAAGTGTGTATCTATGGGGGCGGGATGTTAACAGAGCCATGAAGCTGGAAGTGAAGACAGGTGGCATAGACAGTGGTGCGCGAGTCACGGTGAGCCATCTCCGAGTGAGCACAGCCACCAGCTGTGAGAGGGCCAGACCCAGACCCGGAGAGGGGAATATCCGAATGAAGAGGGCAGGCTAGGTGTGGTGGGGAACTGAGTATTTCAGGGGATGAGGAGGATACTGAGGTCTGAGAGGAAGCAAAAGGGCAGAAATCAAGACAAAGCATTTAGGAAGACACACTCTGCCATGATCAACAGATCTCCAGAGCCTGAGTCAGGGTCAGGTCGGCGCAGACTCGAGCTTCTGATGCCAGAGTGCTCCCAGTGCGAGCCCTGTGTGCTCCTCACGTGATGTCCCTCAGGAAGACTGCATAAGGAGGAAGCGTCCGGAGCATGCCTCCCAAACCTCCCACTCCATGCTGCCTCCGTGCTCTGCAGTGGCGGTTATCTCTGAGGCCCCCCTCAGACCTGAGCTGGCTTCCACACCAGAACCACCAGGGGATTTTGGAGTTGAGGCTCCCGCGCCTTGGCCCCCTGGCTGGGTGAGGGTGTACAGCGGCTGTCGAAAATCTCTGGGTGACGCTCACGAGTGGCTTGGGGCACCTCATGGTCTCCGGTCCCTCCCAGGTCTGCTGCACAGTTCATGCTGTGATTCCTTGGCTCTCATTAACATTAAAAAATAAATCTCTGATCCTTTTAGAATTAGTGTTTTACTACTTTTTGATTTGATGATTTATAAATGCACTTTATGGCTTCCATAATAGTTCTGTAATTCTAAAAGTTTTAATTGAAATCATAATCTTTAAATACTAACATAATAACATTCATTCAAATTCTAAATTTTGAAGAGAAAAAAGGGGCTAAAAATTAAAGCGTAGTATTTAGATGATAATGCAAAGGCTTACATTTAATTGCAGAAATAAAAAATCTGTTTAAGGCTTTGAAATCTTTTCTCTTTGTCTTTCAATAACATGACTTTTCAAATCATAGCTATTATGTTAAAACCTAATTGTCCAAAATCCAAAGGGCTGGATTCTTGGTTAATACAAATCACTTCCTGCTCTTTAGCACATGGACCCCACTACAACTGGGGCTTGACACATTTCGAAGTTTTTTGCCCCTTCTCTTTGACATTTTAATGCACTATCTCCATTAACGTATTTCCACATCAGCAGCTCTTCGTCCATCAGCAGAATTGCATCATACTGGCTTCAGAGGAAAATAACACAGAAAAAGTGCCTTGCTGGCAAATGGCAACACAGGATATGAATTATAGATACACCTCAATAAAGAACAGTGGCTGGAAGATGTGTCTATGTGGGGTGCACATGAGCCACAGTACAAGCCACTGTATACCCAACAAGCCAGTCCAATTCATTTGCATTTGTAAATAGACCCAGCTTCTTCCAAGCAGAGGAAGGCAGCTAGTCACATTCTCTCCCAAAATATTCAGCTCCTCCAACAGCAATACGGTGGGGTTACCACTGATCTAGCTACCCTATGGAATTTATTCACCCTGTTAATGAGTGGCTAAGATTTAATAATCTTAACTAAAGTTCCCAATTTCCTAATGGACTCAACACAAAACATTTGAAAGCTAATTTCAGTGACCCTAGTTTTTGGTATGATGTAGTATTAAAATGCAGGTCTACAGAATTATATTTGTGATATTCAGTATTAAAACTTCCCTTCTAGTCAAGAGTAACAAGACTTTTCAAATTAATTCATTTTACCCTTTTTTTTTTTTTGAAATTAAGAAGTCTGAGACTTCTCCTTCTTCTGATGCTCAGTTAGTCCACGAAGGGCTCTCTCAGGGACAGCAAAGGAACAGTAGTGCTTATACCAGCATCATGTAGGTGTGCACCTTTATCCGTGTCAATATCACTACCTTCCCACTCTGCTCCCCCACAATTCACAATTCACAATTCGTACTTTAACAGCCATACTCCAGTCCCAACAATGTTAAATGCCAAAGCAGTGTTGGTAAAAGCCTCAAATGGTGAAAAGGACAGAAACTCAAACCCGCCCTTGTGCCAGTAAGTAACTGTTACTTATCTCACAAAGCGCTTGGCTCTGGAAACAATCTAACTCTGAGCTGCACGTGGAGTCTACATGGGAATGTGCAAAGCATGTATTTCCTTTTAGGTGCAGCAGAGGTAACGAAATTCAGATAAGAGAAAAAAAATCCAGATTTCAATGCAAGAGGTGGAAGATCCACGAAGATACTCGTTACTATTTGGTTTCTAGGAGCAGGATTGCCACTAGATATGATGGAGAACAAAAATGAAGAGGTGTTGTGTAACAAAACAAAACAAAACAAAACAAAAAAGTAGAAAGAAGAGCAACAGGCCGGGCGCAGTAGCTCATGCCTGTAATCCCAGCACTTTGGGAGGCCGAGGCGGGTGGATCACGACGTTAAGAGATCAAGGCCATCCTGGCCAAATTGGTGAAAGCCCGTCTCTACTAAAAAAAAATACAAAAATTAGCCAGGCATGGTGGCAGGTGCCTGTAGTCCCAGCTACTCGGGAGGCTGAGGCAGGAGAATCACTTGAACCAGGAGGCGGAGGTTGCAGTGAGCCGATATTGTGCAACTGCACTCCAGCCTGGCGACAGAGTGAGACTCCAACTCAAAAAAAAAAAAAAAAAACAAAAAAAAAAACAGAAGAGCAGAACAACAACAGGACCAGATGACAAGGACCCTGCTCCTGACTCAATGATTCTGAGTGGGTGACCCTGTAGGTCTTTGTTGACTCCACCATAAAATCAAGAAATAGAGGCTGGGTAACGTCTAAAACCTTCCCAGTTCTGAGATCTGCTCATTCTATAATTGAAACTCTGTGTCCTTATGGAACCTCTTCTTATGAACACAGTATTAGCTTAAAGATCCCTGCCAGAATTTTGACACAATCTCAAGTCACTCAAGACTTGATCAAAATTTATATATGTGAGGTGCTAGGGTAGCAGGCCTTAAGGAATTAAAATCTGTTTGTCCATCTACCCTGGCTTAAAGATCCAGGGCTTGTGAGATCTTCTGTAAATTCAGTGAAATCATGCTTCCTCCTAGAGCTCATTTCCAAGAAAAAATTCTGGATAATGCTGAAATTTCCAAATCCACAATCAGTTGTATTTTGAAGAGCTGTCAATTGCTGGACATCACCAGGTACCATCTAGGACTAATAAAAGGACGTAAGACACATGGAATGAATGGGGGAAAGTTATTCTACCTGTGCACATCTGCACGCACAGCCTTTAAACATAATGGATTCAGTCATTTAAAAAATGTTACAAGGTCAGGAGTGGTGGCTCACGCCTGTAATCCCAGCACTTTGGGAGGCTGAGAAGAGAGGATTGCTTGAGGCTAGGAGTTCATGACCAGCCTGGGCAACATAGTGAGACTCTGTCTCTACAAAAAAGTAAAGATAAAATCAGCCAGGTATGGTGGCACGTGCCTGTAGTACCAACTACTTGGGAGGCTGAGGTGGGAGAATTGCTTGAGCCCAGGAATTTGAGGTTGTAGTGAGCTATATTAAAGCCTGTGTTTAGCCTGGGATCCACAGCTATGCTCTTTAGGAAGTGGTAGGCCAAAGTTCTTCCTAAGCTTCTGGCAAACTTTGGCTCACCTATGCTCAGGTAATGGCTCAGAATCCTCCAAAATGATGCTACAGAGAGCCACGAGAACTGATCTACAGATGGATGGAACTAATTTGCCATTCCTGAAGTAGGCTTTTAGTAAGATCAGCTAGTATTTCCAACTCTCTGTTTCTTATATCTTCAAAAGTAAATTCCTTAACTAGCAATGCTTTAAAACTGTACACAACAATGCATTTTCAGATAAAAAGGGTATCAGTGTGTAGAAGGAGGAGGGTTCTGTACAGATATTACTTATAAACCATTAACTTCAAATGACTGGATATTACTGCACAGTGAATCTAGTACGTGAACAAGAAGATTCACCAGATTCTATTGTAAATCCTCTGATGATCAAAATGAGGAATTTACTCAAAAGGTGAAAAAGAAAAAAAATTAATCTATGTTTCTTAATTTATTCAATGCAGCAGGTCGATTTTACCTTCATATTGTCACTCTCAAAGAAATTAATAAAACAGTTTCTAACCAGTTAAACTTGCATGTTTTTTCTCTCTACTATCTTATACTTGACCAGCTGAGAAAATCTGAAGCATAATTGCCCCAATCCTTCATTTTTACAATGAGCATTCTGTTTTTATCTAATTGCAGACACACACTCACTCACGCTCCACCTTCATCATTAATTTGTCCTTTTCAGATTCTTCCATGGGCTCTAGGTCCTTTGGGATTGTGCCTTGAGAAAGAAGTCATTCTGACAAGCTCTGTGAATCCCACACTATGCCATTTCTTCCTCTCCCAAAGAGAAACTAACATTTAGCAAACTAGCTTTTCTAATCGCCAACCTAACTTCAACCTAACAGAGCCATCAATGGGGGAACAAAAATCAAAGCAAAACCACGAGTTTGCTGCAACAAGCTGTTAAATAAGTAAAGCAAAAGCATGTTGAAAATCAGATTTCTCAACCCAGAGCACTAAAACATGTCATACACATGTTTTCTCAGATTCAAGCTTCTGCTTTTAAAAAAGGCACAACACAGGTTATGTGCATTGCGAAGTGAACAGAAGGAAGATTTAAAATAGAAATAAAACTTAACTTCTTTCTTTTTTTAGAAAGAATAGTGTAGACATAAAAGTTAAAATTCACAGCTAACAGTCATGGGGCTATGAATATGAGCCCTTGCCAAGTGTGCTTTATAAGATTTACATAGAATAACGCCAACATTTTTCTTTTTCTTATTTTTAATTAAGGAGGAGGTGTTGTACTCTAAGGAAGCTATCTGGATGCTGCTGGCTGAAATACAGATTTGATCTCCTCGTGCTGGTTAGCTAACATCGATTTTCTGCCCCAGTGGAAGAGATTTCACTCTGATGCATGCCATTTAAATTCATTTTACACAGCTGCTTAATGTGGTTTGGCAAGGCACAGTCAAACTAGCTTTGTGGGTCTAAAGAGGCCTCTGGAGTTGGTAAAAGGACAGATCCTATGGATTAGCTGCAGATGATGAATGCTTGCTTCCTCCGACTGTTATCTTCCTACTGACTCATGAATTGACCTTGAAGGTACCACAAGAAAGTAAGAAAGAGGAAAAGCCAATTTCCCAAGAATAACCATGTTTACCTCATTCTATATTTGTTATTTCACTTTGGGGATGATGTTTACAGGATTCTATATTTGTTGGTCCACATTTAGGGCCATGTTTACAGACTTTAGAACTCTCGATTCCAAAATTATCATTTGTTCTGTCTAAATAAATGTAAACTGAATATAAAACTACTAAAAAGCTCTGTCAGGCATTCATAACCAGTAGTGAAAGCATAGTTCTATAAGTTTACTGTTTAAACAAAGCTAGGTGATAGTTCCCTGTTTGATTTTAACCAAAGATGGGGCATGTCTCTACTAAAACTAACTACCAAACATGATTAAGTCTGCCCAGGATGATAGCAATAATTATTTTTTTTAGCAATTCACTCAATAGTAATAGACTTTAAGAGCATTTACTAACCTAAACATGGTGACAGAACCTGATATTACACAGTTTTGTAGTAGGAAAGAAGAGATACTTTTTGTTGCTGTATGTAATTCCTGTGTTGAAATTGAGAATAATATGGCAACACTGTGTTTAGACAGAAAATTATCTGTTGGATTATTTTGTTGTATTTTCCTGGTGACTTCAATATTCTGATACTCGCTGGAGAAAAAATAATAGAAGTTTTTGGCACAGACATTTGCTTGGTGGTGATATAATGAAACTCCTCCTAAGTCCTATGAATAGCCTGTCAGCTCAACTGCAGTGAGTCTCTTGTCAAATGAGATGCTGTGCTCTTAATTTGGGGGTGGGTATGGCAGCCGCTCACTGTAGCAGCAGGAGTGATAATATAGTCATGAGAACAGCGCTGCACAACACAGGTTCCTAGACAAAACAATGACAACAATGGGGGAAATGACGCCAGAGGTGGTGACATCATGTCTTCGACACAGATCAAAGTTTCTATTTCCCTCTCAGGCATGAAGGAAAGCAGCCATGCCGAAAGCCATGCACAGACAGGGCCTGAGGACGCATGCGGGTTTCCACCGAACGGCCACAGTACTGTTAATACGAAAGGAAAACGAAACAAACACACCAACAAAAATGGACAGAAGGACAACCCCCTTGGAGATGGATTTTCTGTTAGGTGTTTCGCTTTCTTGGTTTGGGTGTTCCTTTCGCGGCCAGACGGCACGATCGTTAACAGTTTCAGAGAAAACGCCCAGGTCCCGCAGCAAGTCGGGGTGTGTTGCTACCTACCCGTACTGGTCAGGCTGGTGCACCATGGGAGCCTGAGAGTTGCCATAGTTGGGGTGCTGGGAAGAAAACATGGGGCGTCCGCCAGCCCCAGACTGGCTGGGATAAGCAGGCGACCTAATGTATGGTGGCCTAAAGTGGAACAGAAGAACAGCTTCTTGGGATTTGTTCTGATGCACAAGCATGAGCCCTGTATATCTGTCACCCCCACACATAGGTGCGGGGCTTACAGACCATGGAGGCAAGTTGAATACCCTGCATCCTGCCGCTGCCTGAGGGGTGGGGGGTACAGAAAATGCCTCCAACGAAAGGGTGGGGACAGGCAGAGAAAAGTAATATTCTCAATTCTAATCTCCATTTACCATTTTAAAGTATAGCTTTGACTTTGGTAAAAGCAAACAAGAAGATATACAGCCCCCATTTAAACTCCTGGTGAGCTAAAATGGGCAGTAAGTTGAAGGCAAGGCTTTGGAATGGTCTACGCATTAGAAACGGAAAATGGCAATGCATGGATGTGTATTTATATATTGATTGCTACAGGATGACATAAACACTGACTCAGAGAGGGGGCACGCGTAGCTTTGTAACCACACAAAATCAGGCCTGGCTCTCTGTGGCTATCTTCTGAGGTCCCTCCAAAGGCTGCGTGCCAAATGCAATCAAATACTTTCTACTTAAAAAAAGAAAATAACTTGCGCTTTATGAGTTGCAACAATGGACAATTCATTTAAACTTGAATTAGAACTTCAATTTCAACAGCCAAACCAGTTTTCACAGACAGGTTTACAAAAATATTCCCTAAAGCCTGTGTAGGTTCGGCAGAGGGCTAGACTGCTGGAGTTCAGAAGATTTTAAGTAATTGTAATGTGGAGACAGAAAGAAAGATAATGATTGATTTTCATTTTATTTCCTCAAGGGAAATTTATTATTATTTGGAAAAAACAATAAGACTGGAGGGGTCCCACATTCCCCAGATAGCAGCTTCAGAGGAAAAGTAACAAAAGACACATTTAAAAACACACGCACACACATGCACACACGCACACACACCTTAGCTTTTGCTTCCCTTTGACAAAAATCGGAATCTTCTACTTTGCTTCTGAAGATATCATTAAGATACACATCTTTCAAAGTATGTTGCTTTAAAACATATTTACATGTGCTTTTAAAACATATTCACCTTTGCCTTATAAATTTTTAATTATGTTATTTTTATCCAGGTCAAGTATTTACTTCAAAATTAATTTTTAAGTCGGGATTAAAAATGAGTAAGTAATTGTAGCTAAAGCCTTTTATCAACTCAAACTTTCTAAAATATTATATTTGCTTTTTAAACCACATTTTGGTTTGGACAGATAGATATGCCTGGAAAAATAAAATATAACATAAGAATGTCAAGTATATAAATCTCACACATATACATTTAGACAAACACACAATACACGTATGTATACATACGAAGTTTGTATTTTAGGAAGATTCTTGTGGTAGGGTGAAAAAAAGGTGGGGAGTGTGTTCCTTTTGAATGTTTTAGATTTTAAATCGTTCCTAAGCGTATTTCCTGCTTAAAAGTCACTGCTTCAATTGGTACCACGCAGACACTTCCCTGTGCAACCAGATCTGGTTTGCTGCTGCAATGACTATTCACAGGCATTTCAAATCACCTCCCACGACTGATGTGCTCACCGCTCACATTCCTTCCTCATGTATCATAAAACATGGTTTGTCACTTAGTTCTCTGACCTCGATGCTACAGAATATATTTAACACAAAAAGAACGGCCAAGCACAGTGACATTCTACTGCTCTGTGTGACCCCAGGGAACAATGCAGCTATGTGCGCAGTCACGTGGTCACGGGTAGACACACAGCGTACCTGCCCGGGGCGTGCTCCTGGGTGGCGTACCTGCTTTGTGCTGAGTTCGCAGCAGCCTGCATCACTGCTGCGGCTGCCTCCTGTGCCTTACGGTTCACAGTTGGCATTGGCGGCCCCATTCCTGGCCCTCCCTGCTGAGACATGCCAGGAGAACTGGGGGTCATGCTGCTCATATTTCCAGGAAATGGTCTGTTCTGCATCCCAGCTGATGGCATTCGTCCCAGGGGCACAGCACCACATGGCTGGCTTGGCCCTTGTCCATGCATCTGGTTGTTGGCACTGATACCCATACCGGGCCCTGGGCCGCTGTAGCTTGCACTGGGCACCCCACTATACGCTGGGGGTCTGGAGTAGTTACCTAAACAAAAAGCAAACACAAAGTAAAGCCTTTTATTTAAACTTGTGACAACATTCACTGGAAATACTTTTTGTCCAACAATGCGATCAGCACGGAGTATTAGTCATGACCGTTATAGGCCCTTCCTGTTGCTGCTGGTGCAGCTGCCAGTCTCAAACATGCTCTCTCTGCACACTCCCAGGCCCTCAGAGAGTGACTCAAATACAGACAGCCCCAGAGGACCACTGCACTGATGAAGAGAAATTCAGGCTGGTCATAAAAAGAAACAAACAAAAAAACAAAAAACAAACCCTATGAATAGGCAAGGGACACCGAGTGCTGCCTCAATCCATTCAACACCACATATTCTTATATTTTAACCAAAATGGTGAGCACCACTCTTGAGATCACACCACTAGATCACTGCTACCTTCAACAGTCATGTGAAAGGGCTCAAAAAGACAACGTGTAAGACGACATGCACATATGGTCAAAATCATCCTTTAAAACCCCACAGGAAGGTGTCACGCGGGAACCTGACATGAGCCCCAGTTTTCCTCTAAGTTGGGAATAATATTTTTCTTTCTTTCTTTCTTTTTTTGCTTGAGTACCAGATCGAGCAGCTGGTTTGTGCTGGCTGCCACATCTCGGAAAACTGTCCCAGCACAAGCACGGCACACGGCAGCAGGAGAGCTGGCGGGCAGGGTCAAAGGCGAGGGTGAGGGCGGGCGGGCAGGGTCGGAGGCGGAGGTGAGGGACGGAGGGCAGGGTCGGAGAAGGGGGTGAGGGCTGGCGGGCAGGGCCGGAGGCGGGGGTGGGGGACGGCGGGCAGGGCCGGAGGCGGAGGTGAGGGACGGAGGGCAGGGCCGGAGGCGGAGGTGAGGGACGGAGGGCAGGGTCGGAGGCGGAGGTGAGGGACGGAGGGCAGGGTCGGAGGCGGGGGTGAGGGACGGAGGGCAGGGTCGGAGGCGGGGGTGAGGGCTGGCGGGCAGGGTCGGAGGCTGGGGTGGGGGACGGAGGGCAGGGTCGGAGGCGGGGGTGGGGGACGGCGGGCAGGGCCGGAGGCGGAGGTGAGGGACGGAGGGCAGGGTCGGAGGCGGAGGTGAGGGACGGAGGTCAGGGCCGGAGGCGGGGGTGAGGGACGGAGGTCAGGGTCGGAGGCGGAGGTGAGGGACGGAGGTCAGGGCCGGAGGCGGGGGTGAGGGACGGAGGTCAGGGTCGGAGGCGGAGGTGAGGGACGGATGGCAGGGTCGGAGGCGGGGGTGAGGGCTGGCGGGCAGGGCCGGAGGCGGGGGTGAGGGACGGAGGTCAGGGTCGGAGGCGGAGGTGAGGGACGGAGGGCAGGGTCGGAGGCGGGGGTGAGGGCTGGCGGGCAGGGTCGGAGGCTGGGGTGGGGGACGGACGGCAGGGTCGGAGGTGAGGGACGGAGGGCAGGGCCGGAGGCGGGGGTGAGGGATGGCAGTTGTTTTCCCTTTCCTTTCACACCTTTTGATTGTGTGTAGATAGATTCAAGTAAATCAAAGGTACACATGATACTACTTCAATCATAACAGCTGCTGAACCACAGTGTGTGCTGGGCACTTGGTTAAGTGCTTTGCACCAATGAATTCATTCATTTCTTCCAATAACCACATGAAATATAGATACCCCAGGACTCCATTTACAAATGAGAAAAATCAAGAGCTAGAAGATTAGTACTGAAGCTCAAGCAAACTGGCTCGGGGACCCATGTATTTGACCAATAAAATGTGCTGCCTCCTGATAACTGAATGTTGAAATTACATAAATGCGAAAGACAAGTGTGTGTGGAATATGGATTAGTGTTTCCCAATCAGTCCTTACTATTTTTTGGAAGCCTTTCTCCATCCATGTAACATAACTATACACTTACTACATTCCAGAAGCTGTTCTAGGCACAGGTGACGTAAAGCTAAATACAATCCAGTTCTTGCACTCGAGAAGCTCACATCTACATGGGTATGTGTGTGTGTGTGCATGCACGTGCACGTATGGGTATGCATGTGTGTGTGTGTGCAGTAAAGCAGCAAGGGTGAAAACAAGAAAAAGGATAAAAGCAAAACAAAGCATGCAATGTGAAAAGTGCAAGAGAGAAGGGAGAGTGAGTCTGATGGGGGCTGAGGGCTTGAGGGTCCCCTTGGTGGGGGTTGGTGGAGAGTCCTCTGAATGAGCACTTCTGGAGCTGAACCCTCAGGAGCTGGCTTCAGGGGCTGGGAGAGCCTGCAGCTGGGTGAGCCTCTGCACTGCCTGCCTGTAGGACCTTAGGGGAGTTGCTTGCATCTTTTCTTGTTTCATTCTCTTCTCTGTAAAACAGATAATCCTAACACTGTCCACATGAAGAGGTGTTCTCAGGATTAAACCATATAATGGATGTAAAGTATCAAAATTGTTGGTGCCACTTGATGGGGGTTTCATTGTTGGCTGGGGACTGTGGCAGAAGAGGGGAAAGGGCACTTATGGCTGAGAGGCTGGGGACACCGGCTTAATGGCAAGGGCAGACTGACTTGGGACAGCCACTGGGGCGCTGTGTGTGGCTGACGGGGGGATAGAGGGGAGAGGCTGGGTCTGGCAGGGCCTTGTGTACCAGGCTTCTAAGTTTGAGATTTATCCTGTCCATAAGGAGGAGCTTCTCAAGGATTTCCAGCAGAGGTAGGATTGGATTAATAACTGCAATAAAAGCAAACACTTAACATTTACTATGTGCTAAGCTCAGTTCCAAGTTCTTTGTGTTAACTCACTTAATCCCCAGATCAAGCCTAGGAGGTACACATTATTATAATCCTCATGCTGAAGACGAGGAGCCTAAGGCACGGGGCTGTGAATAACAACAAATGTCCCATGGTCACGTGGCTCACAACTGGAGGACTAAGGTCTGAGCCCAGGCATCCTGGAGTGTAGCTTAGAGTCCAAGCATGACACACTCTGCTACACAGTCTCTCAAATATTTAAGAAAAAGCACATTTATGTAACAATGTTACCCTAATGGTCAAAACCGGCTTTCTTAAATTCACACATATAAAGTTCTATCACCTACAAATCTGCAAGAGACCTCTGCAGACTTCTCCACATTTACTGCGCGTCTGATCTCTGTGAGAGCCACTGTGTGCATTTTCATTTGGCTGTCCGGGAGGCGTGTGTTATTCCCTACAGGCGACGCACGGGCCACTGTCCGTGCAGATGTGGGCAGGCACGCTTTTTGTCAAGGGCCAGATAGGAAATAGTTCAGGCATTTGGGGCAAACAGTCTCTATCACGATTGCTCAATCCTGCCACTGTAGCCCCCAAAGCAGCCACACACACAGATGGGAGTGGTGATGTTCCAGTAAAACCTTATTTACAAAAACAGGTAGTGGGCCAGAGCGGGCCACAATCTGTGGACTCCTGATACAGACCGGTCTTGGGACAAGCTAATAAACTGCTACACTAGCAACAGCAAGTAAGACCTGGTCAAGTCAGCAGCTTCCTTAGTCCCGAACACCACCTGGAAGGCTGAGAAAGGCTTCAGGGGATGCCAGAGAGCACAACAACAGATCTGAGGAACTGGGAAAGAAAGTGGAAGACACAGGGGAACAGGAAACAGGAACAGGAGAGGCACAGCGCAGACACCTCGGGTGCGCTGGGCCACACGCCATTAGCTTTTTTATTGGCAGCTCCTTAAAGGCAAACTGCTTCGGCGTGAAGAGGCACTGCTTTTGCACAGCTGAAGTTTGCAGATACCATCAAAACTTTGTTTTCAAGTTAAAATAAAAAATAAAAAAACACCACTGTTCATCAGTTTCAAAGTTCTTTACAAAAATTTCTTAAGTTGCTTCTGAATCTCCCATCCCACGGGACACACATAGGCTCCCCTGTCTGTTTTCCCATCACGCAGTCTCGGCGGAAAAGGCACCTTCTGTGCACCCTGGTAGGTGGGCACAGAGCAGGGGCCAGCTGCTGGGCCCTTCCTCTTCCCACGCTTACCCAGAGTCCCAGTCCTCACGACTTTTCCCTGTGAGAAGGAATTCAGACTCCTCCTCCTCCTCCTCCCCAAGCTCACATCCCCTTCGCTTCCAGATGATCTGATAAGATCAGTGAAATACAGTGCTCCTTCTTAGCTCTTGCTTTTATTAAAAATAAATATACTCATTCATAGTTTGAATGCACAAGTAATTAATTCATATATTCATGCCATTACTTGAGGGCTAGTTTCCACCCTCCCCTAACACTGGATAAGTGACTCAGTTGGTAAGAAACCTTTTTCAGTGAAAACTTATGTGCCCTTTGCTTTAGAAGGAAATGAAATAACGTTTTAGTCTTGTTTTAGAAAACAAGCGTTTAGACTATACCCATCATGCGGTTTTATTAGAGAAAGAAGGTTTCTGAGTTTGTAGAATTCTGCTTATAGCTGGAATGCGGAAATGCTGGCACTCCAACCTCCTGGGTTTAACTGGGAGTCAAGGGCTGTATCTTAATGAACACAAAGGAAAGAAACTACTGAGATGTTAAGTTACTCTGTACCCTACCTCCATCTCTCACTCATGTTATATACTAAAGAGAGAGGAGCTGTGTTTCAATAGCTTTGCCCAGTTCGGCAGCTGGTCTTCGTCTCCTGGCAGGAAGCATCTGCAACCTGGGGGAGCATGCGTTCGAGCACAGCTATGCACACCAAGACACGCGTGTGTGCACTTGTGCTTAGAAAGGCGCTTAGGCCAGGGGTGCCAATCTATTTCTCTCCAATCAGTTGGGTTGATTCCATGAATTGGCACTCAAAAGTGCATGTCAAGGAAAAATGTTCTAATTACAGAAGCCTCTATTGGATAGAAGAAATACAAAGTCCCCTTTTCTTTTCTTTGAAACTTTCCTCATTAGACTCACGTGCCTGGACAAAAATAGTTTCTAAAGGCTTAAAACGGTTTAAAAGGCAACAATGGATAAAGCACAGGCTTCAGCATCTGGGTGTGAATACTGGTTCTGACACTCCCTAGCAGCGTGACAAGTGGTTTAACCTCTCTGAACTGTGGTTCTGTCATCTGTAAAGTGACTACGATAATGAGTAAGAGGTTGAAAGTAACAAGTACAGCGCCAGGCACCGCACTGCCTAACAAATGACAGCTGCCATCGTCATCAATGGCCATAACAACATCACTAACATCACCCCCCCCATCTTTTAAAAATGTGTGCATGGGGTGAAAAATGATTCATGCCCCCCCCAACTACTCGATAACGTATCTTTCTTCCCAAAATAAACAAAAACCAAATATGTAAGCCAAGCAAAATATGAGAGGAAAAGCCAGGAATGAGAAGTGCAATCTTATTTCCATGTTTCTCTAATAGGTTAGTAATTTGTTGGCACTGGCTTTGACAGAAAACAGATGGATCCAGCATTAAGCACAATGAAGGCGGCAGATGCTGGGCCAGCCCACCTCAGCTGGACTGGTCTTGCAGCCAAGTCCAAGGACCCACAGTTTTCAAGTGGGTTCATCTTGGCACACTAGCTTTGGAAAATTGGTCACCAAATGAATTCAGATTTCTACCCACCAGGAGTTCCATTCAAGCACCAGAGAGAGGAAGCAGAAGCTAGACCCTATTCAAGTCACCATCATCATTTCAGGCAGATCACAAAAATTTCTATACCTGACTCCAGAATATTTAAAGTTGATAGTTGCAATGCATACTCAGAGCTTACTGCTTTTTGTAAACTACTAAATGTTTCCACTCATATACGAAATTTTGCTTCTAAGTTCCAATCACTCAACAGTTATGAACAACTACTATGGGCAAGGTTCTGCGTCATTCCCTATATGATGGAGGAGAAAATGGAGGTGAATGCAATAAATCAGAAATCTTACCCTTGTGGAAAAAAGAAATGCATAATTAGCTACATACTATGATAAAGGCAGTTGTGAATTAGGGCTAAATATGCATTTATCTTGTTTTGTAGCCAGTGATGTTTACCATTTTTATAACAGTTACTACAAAATATTGTTTTTTTTGTTGTTGTTTTTGTTATTGTTGTTGTTTTTGAGACAGAGTCTTGCTCTGTCATCCAGGCTGGAGTGCAGTGACGTGATCCCGGCTCACTGCAACCTCTGCCTCCTGAGTTTAAGCGATCCTCCCACTTGAGCCTCCTAAGTAGCTGGGTTTACAGGTGTGTACTACCATGCTAGGGCAATTTTTGTATTTTTAGTAGACACAGGGTTTTGTCATGTTGCCCGGGCTAGTCTCAAACACCTGGCCTCAAACAATATACCCGCGCGGGCCTCCCAAAGTGCTGTGATTACAGGCGTGAGCCAATGTGCCCGGCTTTGTCATGTCTATATTGAGATATAAAAAATTCTATAATCCTGTAATCGACAGCACAATCAAGGTACAGAATATTTCTCTCACAAGAAATGAAAGGAGGGAAAAGTTCCCTCTTCCCCTTCTATAAGTCAACCTTATCCCCATGCCACCCCCTGGCAACCACTGATCTGATTTCCGTTCATGTCATTTTATTTCTCTACAACGTCACATGGAGTCACACAGTATAGGCTTTCGTGGCTGGCTTCTTAGCATTATGCCTTTGACATCCATCCACACCGTTGCATGCATCTGTACATTCCCTTTCAGTGCTGAGTAGTAGTCCATTCTTGGATATGGTTTCCAGTTTTTGGCAATTACGAGTAGAGCTGCTAAAAATTTGTATACAGGTCTTTGTGTGGTAGGAATATGTTTCATCTTTCTTGGTAAAACCCTAGAAATTAGATTGCTGGCTGTATGGTAAGTACGTGTTTATAAGAAACTGCCAAACTGTGGCTGTACTATTTTGTATATATTCCCATCAAATACTGTGTGAGAGTTCTAACTGCCAGCACTTGATATTCCAACTTAAAAAAATTAGCCATTCGAATCAGTATGTAATAGAAATCAACGTGGCTTTAGTTTTCATTTCCCTAATGAAAAAAATTTTGAGGATTTTCCATGTGTTTATTTGCTGGTTATCATATTTAAGTAAGATCTTTTCTGTGAAAAATAAAGTTCTATTTCAATACAGCTTCTTTCAATTCTATCTTTCTACTTAGATCTATCACACAATGCTGCTCTTTCAGCCAGAGAAATGCATCAAGTAGATGATCACAAATACAGGTTCATCAAAATGAAAGCTGACTTACCGCAAGTTGCATTAAATCCTATTTGTGGGAATAAATAGAGAGAATTTGTTTTCTGAACTATACATAAGGTACCATATTTCTCTTAGGTCAATATGCATTTTAAAATTCTTTAAAATGTAAAACTTACAATATTACACAAAGTGTGTAAAAGAAGGAGAAAGACCTATTATCTTACCTTACAGTGTCACTTCAATGTTTCACTTTTGGTAGTTTTTTTCCATTTATGTTACAACAATTATTGTCTTCCTTTTTAATTACAAAGTAATGCACGCTCAATGCAGAAAATATGGAAGCACAGAAACAGACAAAAATTATCCTTAGTCTCACTCCACAAGGATAATATACCAGGTACTGCTCTTAGGCATCGAATGGTCAACCCAATACTGGTCAAGCTTCAAGGCAGGAGGGGACGGAGTATCAGTGACTCTGGATTACTCTGCCTTAGCAAAATTCATTCATTTAAGAAAGAGTTATTAAGGGCCTCTTACATGCCAGGCTCTGTGCTAAATGCTGGGGATTCAGCAGTGAATGAAGACAAGAGCTTATGTCCTGGTGGCAGGAAACAGGCAAGTAAAGAAATCAAGAACATGTCATGAGGTGACGAGAGTGATGATGAGAAACACAGGAGGGAGGACTCTGCAGAGTGCTGAGGGGAAGGGAGCCATGTGGAAGGCCGCTGCCTCTCCCGGGGCAGAAGCGGATCCCGGACCAGGGCTAACGTCAGAGGCGGACCCCAAGGACACGTGGGTATGCTCAGAGGCCAGCATCTGACATCGAGGCAGCAAGTGAAGAAGAAAGGCCTCCCAGGAGGTGGGTCTCGCCATCTGGTTCTGGGCAGGTGACCTCTGGAAAGCTACGTGTTACTCCAAAGCTCAGTTTCTTCCTCTATAAAAAGGGTACAATAAAAGATTCTCTGTCTCATGTGGTTGCTGCAGGGAAAAAAATATAGTAACTATGGTTGGACAACTGACAATGAATAGATAAAATCAGCCAAGGAATAGGCAAAAAGTGTTCTTTTTATTTTTATCGAGACAAGGTCTCACTCTGTCGCCCAGGCTGGAGTGTAGTAGTGTGATCTCGGCTCACTGCAACCTCCGCCTCCCGGGTTCAAGTAATTCTCCTGCCTCAGCCTCCTGAGTAGCTGGGATTACAGGCGCGTGCCACCACATTAGGCTAATATTTGTATTTTTAATAGAGATGGGGTTTCACTGTGTTGCCCAGGCTGGTCTCAAACTCCTAGACTTAAGCAATCCACCCACCTCAGCCTCCCAAAGTGCTGGGATTACAGGCGTGAGCCACTGCACCTGGCCCAAAAAGTGTTCTAATAACTTTATAATTAGTGAAGAGAAACTATCTTTACATCATCATATTGCACTATATCCCTAGTTTTACTTTCATCACGCACAGATACGCAATTTATTCCTTAAATAGAATGTATAAAAGGTAAGCACTGACATTAAAAAATATATAAAAAGGCTGGGCACGGTGGCTCATACCTGTAATCCCAGCACTTTGGGAGGCTGAGGCGGGTGAATCACTTGAGGTCAGGAATTTGAGGCCAGCTTGGCCAACATGGTGAAAACCTGCCTCTACTAAAAATATGAAAAATTAGCTGGGTATGGTGGTGGGCGCCTGTAATCCTAGCTACCCCAGAGGCTGATGCAGGAAAATTGCTTGAACCCAGGAGGCAGAGGTTGCAGTGAGCTGAGATTGCACCACTGCACCCCAGCCTGGGCAACACAGCAAAACTCCATCTTCAAAAAAAAAAAATAATAATTATATATATAGCTCTCTCTATATATAGTTTAATATATATATATATAGCTATTAACCCAACCCAATAGTCAACTGCAGTGTGAACAGTCAAGTCTCTATGGTAAGAACCGAATGCGTCTAACCATCAGAAGCACACTCCAGAGGCTGTGTCTCCAGGCTCAGCTGCTGTGCACTGCATGCCCCACACAGACTGCAGGGGAAAGGCACCCCCTGCAGGCGGGCCAGGGAGGGTCCCGATCGGCTGCCGCTAACCACAGGTGGAGGGACCCTTCTCCAGGGTGCCTGGTGCAGCTCTGACAGATTTGTGAAATGTGTCAACAGGTAATTTCCTTTTAAACATTCGAATAAATGGAAGAGCGATGGACCTCGGGAAAAGGTACCTTGCTAAGAGGGCAAGTGAAGCTGCATGTCCACACCCTGCCTCTCTAGGTGCCACCCACCGCTGTCTTAATGAAGCCCACCTGACATGGTGCGTACGGTGGTGCGCTCGGTCACACGGTGAGGGCAGGAGGTGTGCCCCTCTTAAGTACTGCTGATGTTAATTACTGCAGTAAAACAATTAGCCTCACAAGAGTCAAAATTAAAGTTGCTTGATTTTTTTCTTTTTTCATTTTAAGTTGATTTGTACTGTATATTTTCCTTTTTCTCCCTAATTCCCAGGTTTTGTTAAGATCATGATGTGATGATCTTATCAAAATCATGATGATTATCAGTCTAAGAAAAATTCACGCTTACGTCTTATAACTTGAAGGCTAGATTCAGGCATCACAAGAAGACTTGATTACGTTCACCTATCCTTTGCTATGAAATAATCCAATTCAATTTTTGTTTTTTCTAATATTAGCAAAACAGATTTAGTATATTTCCTTAGTAAAACATAACAGTATAGAAGAAGGAATTAATCCTTTTGCTTTGCACTGTCGATTTAACCAAAAAACAAGGTTAAGATAAGAAGAAGCTGTGGCCTTATCAAGTGCATCAACCTGTTTGAAGAAAACAATAAAATGAGCACACTGAAGGGCGAGTGACCTGCACAGAATCTAGTCTTTGGAACGTCAGAGAAGAGGATCTTGTCAATCTGCATCACCATCCAGGGGAAGTCTTTTGACTGCACAGAATGAATCTATGTGGCAGACAGACCCCACATCTGCAGAAGAGCAGCTGCATTTAAGCCAATTCAATAATAAGACCAAGGTTCTCTCATGCCTGTAATCCTAGCACTTTGGGAGGCCGAGGTGGGTGGATCATGTGAGCCCAGGAGTTTGAAACTAGCTTGGGCAACATGCTGAAACCTTGTCTCTACAAAAAATACAAAAAAAATTAGCCCGGCGTGGGGTGCATGTCTGTGGTCCCAGCTACTAGAGAGGCTGAGGTGGGAGAATCCCTTTAGCCCAAGAGCTCGAGGTTGCAGTGAGTCAAGGTTGCATCACTGCACTCCAGCCTGGGTGACAGAGTGAGACTCTGTCTCAACAACCAACTAACCAACCAACCAACCAACCAACCAACCAACCAACCAACCAAAGATGGAGGTTCTGAACTTAGAAGAGTAGAGACTGAAATCCTGGGTCTCAGTGACTGCAGGGCCTACAAGGTACCCACAAGTAGCCAGGGGCCCCACAACTCTTGACATCTAGACCTTGCCCCTCTAGAACCACAATTTAAGAGTATTGCTGTGTAATTCAGTAGTTTGGAACTGTATTCATTTCAACTGAATATCATTTAAAGTTTGCCTTTGTTGAACTTATGAGACACATATAATGAATGAAGGGAAAAGGAAAATTTCTAGATGGCATCTAATTTATTTTAGTGAAAAAAAAAATCTTTAAACCCTTCTGAAAAACACCTTTACCAAAGTAATTTAGAAATAATTTACACCTACTTGTAAGTCCTCTGCTTTCTAAGACACACACAATAAAAATCAGGCATAAACCCAGGTGTCAGCACGACCCATATGGCTGTGTGTGGTGGCCCTTCCCAGACTCCCATAGGCTATTACAGAGTGAGTGAGGCCTGGGAGCAATCTAGACTCAGAACTACTGTTACTTGCCCAAGGTAACTCTACTTACTCACAGCAAAACTAAGGCCCGAGTGTTTATATTTTGTAACTAATAACAACATGCAAAAAGTATTTCTGGATAGTCAGTGTGATAGACATTCCTCTAGAGAACACAAAAAACAAACAAGATAGTTTTGTCCTTAAGAAATAAAAAGGCTATGGACATGAAATTGATTTTAGCTCTCTTTTTCCCATACAAACTCACTTATTAATAATTAACATGTTAATTACATAATCCTTTCTACTTATTAAAGCAAGTCCCCACAGTCCTCTTTCCTTGCAAACACTTTGCAAGGGTAGTTATTATTACATGTGCTTGCTTGAAGGTGGCAAAGTGCTATTTCATAAAATATACTGTAATTAAGTATTTTTACACATTTATATTGGCTTCATTTATTTAAAAATTCAGATTTTATAGTACTAATATACATTTCTAACATTCCCCCTTCTTCACATCATAGAAATTTTATTTTATTTTATTTTTTGCGACAGGGTCTCACTTTGCCACCCAGGCTGTAGAGCAGTGGTGTGATCAGAGCTCACTGCAGCCTCAACCTCCTGGGCTCAAGTGATCCTCTGATGTCAGCCTCCCGCGTGGCTGGGACTACATGTGTGTGCCATCACAACTGGCTAATTTTTTTATATCTTTTTGTAGAGATGGGGTTCTACCATGTTGCCCAGGCTGGTCTCAAACTCCTGGGCTCAAGCGATCGGCCTGCCTCAGCCTCTCAAAGTGCTGAGATTATGGGCATGAGCAACATTCTTAATCTCTTTAGTATTTTTGTTGTTGTTGTTGTTTTTTTAAAGACAGGGTCTCACTCTGTCACCCAGGCTGGAGTACAGTGGCATGATCTCGGCTCACTGCAGCCTCCACGTCCCGGGTTCAAGCGATTCTTGTGCCTCAGCCTCCCAAGTAGCTGGGACCACAGGCGTGTGCCACCGCACCCGGCTAAGTTTTGTACTTTTAGTAGAGGCAGTGTTTCACCATGTTGCCCAGGCTGGTCTCGAACTCCTGACCTCAAGTGATCCACCCGTCTCGGACTCCCAAAGTGCTGGGATTACAGGCTTGAGCCACCATGCCCAACCAGTAATTTTTTATATATATGTTTCCATGCCTGTTTCTTGCTCCTTAAAGGCAAGTTATTTGTCATTTTGGTTTTATATCCCTAGTGGCTTACTGAATGAATGAACCGGTGAGAAGGCAGTGCAGCTCAGGTGTGGGAAGCAACACCGCCAATGACCACGCGAGAGGCCCCTCGTAAGTCAGTTTCTGCTGGTGGGAACCCTGGCCCAGCCACTTACTGTAACAGCTGTGGGATCATGGCCGAATTATTAAATTTCTCAAGGCTTTGGTGTTCTCATTTACAAAATAGAGACAGCCTCAGAGGGCTTCCCGTTAATTAAGAGAATGGGTGAATCAGCCTGGGTTTGGATCCTGGCTTGACCATTGTAGTCACTGTGCATCCAGGCAAAACTATTCACCTGTTCTGTGCCTCAGTTTCTTCCTCTGTAAAGTGGAGTAATAACAGCAACTTCTGTGACGATTAAATGAGTTAATATATAAAAAACACTTAGAAAATAGGACCCAGGACATAGTAACATGTTCAATAAATGCTGGTTGTTATTACTAACAATTTTGGAAAAGCTTCTCATATAAAATATGAGTAAAACGGCTGTGAAATATTTGAAACTTCTTTAAAAAAGCAAAACCAGAAGCAAGCCATGAAGTTAAGAACAAAAACAGAAAAAGGAGACTGATGACATCTTGGGTGGCTGCATGAGTGAATCATTCCAGAGATATGAACACTTCTAATGCAAAGAAGGAAGCTGAATATGTCACTAATAATCTGAGTAGTTAATCAAGAGGAGAAAGAAAAAAAACCCTTTATTAGGATCCCTTTCTAAAAGGATAACAAAGACAGAAAAAGTGAAGAGTATTTATTGAACTCAACAACACATTGCAAATGTGATCTCCTGTTGCTGAGTGTTTGCTGAGGACAGGAGGCTCCAAGGCGGAAAAGGTGATGATTTTGATTTGGACATTGAGAGTACCAGGACCCTCACAGCACACAGCGCTCCGAGCTGA
Organism: Homo sapiens; assembly: GCF_000001405.40. Lineage (NCBI taxonomy): Eukaryota > Metazoa > Chordata > Mammalia > Primates > Hominidae > Homo > Homo sapiens. Next base: position 157,135,579 of record NC_000006.12, on the reverse strand, counting down.
TGCAGGAACCCAGGAGCACATATGCCTTGGAGGGGAACAAGGTGGCAGTGTCACTCAGGAGAGGAGAAAAGGGTGCATGGTGCTGGGAGGGGTGCCCAACTTTCAGGCACCAGAGAGTGCTGAGTGTGGGAATATTCATTCTCATTTCAGATCGTTTCTACTATTAACCTACACTCAAGGTTCATGCCTTAAAACACTCAAACAAAAAGCTGAACTGTGATGCAGGAACCCAGTGGGCTACCGTAACAGTAAAGGTCCTGGAACTGAAGCAAGGCTTTATTCGTAGAACATTAGAAGTGGAAGCAAATGCCAACATAATATAATCTCATTTTCTCATTTTCTAGACAAAAAGAACTTCAGAAAGAGTAAGCAGTTTTCCAAGGAGACACAGCAGTTTGGATAAGAACTCTCCTGGGCTTAGTGCTCTTAAATTAAGAGTCTTCACATTCAATGATACTGAAAAACAGGGATTTAGTAAAAAAAAAAAAAAATCCATTCTATAGTAATTTCCTTCCCTGCTATTAATTCCTATAGCAAAAGTTCTTCCTTAGTTGTTCACAAAAGACTTACTAGATAGCCCAAGGCTCAGTCTTCACATATGATGAGTAGAAAAAGAGGCTACAAGATTGAATTACTTGAGAGTATGGAGACAAATTTCAGAGTCCAGGAAGGGCTTATGGACTTAAGAGTTAACTCCTAGACCTTCAGCCACACCCAATTCTGAGAACAAGGTCTGCATCTTGCTTCCAATTACATTAGGAGCAAAAGCCCGCATTTTCTGTGCCTACCACAAGTTACAAACCGTTTTTCCAACTGCCACTAAGCTCTCTTCTTTCCATGACAGCTAAAGAAACCTGGCTTTGACGACACCCACCACGTTCAGTAAGGATGGTGGGTGACCCACAGTCCTGCCTCTGCTCTGCAACAAACTGCTACATGTCATAGTTACCGGGCACTGACAGGGAACAAGCAGACCATTACTGTCAACTGGGACTGAAATTCCTAACGCTTACTGGAATTACTAACATGGAAAACTCTTGATGATGTGATATAAAGAGAATTGGGCAAAACACCAAGTCTCACTCTCAGGACAAGCCTAGAACAAAGGCAGGAGAGGCTCTATACAGACGTTTGCTTTCTTGGGTATCCCCATAGTCTTCCTACCAACAGAAATATTTGGAAAGTAAATATAACAAAGCCCTCTAAGGCAAAGAAACAATGCTCCATTGGTAGCACTGAAACTGTTTAAGATCTTTCGGAAAAACATCTTCAGAACACAAGATAATAACTCGCTTTTCAAGCTGTAAAGTACTATACATCAGAAAGATGCGATTTTCTGAGAACCAGCAGGTAAAAAGGTGACTGGGCCTCACCTTCTATTTGCCTGGCCTCTAGGAAATACTAAGGCGCTACACCAGGCAAACCTGGTTTTGTTGTAGAAGTGGTAAACATTTTACTACAGTTTCCCAGTGGCACTCATCATCTTCACCTGGAATGTTCCTGGTATTTTCAGAAGTGAGAGAACTCTGGGAATTGTGCCAGATTATCTCATTCTCTCTAAATTATCCACTCATGTCTAATTTAAATAAACAAAATATAAGGAAGGTGGTAAATTCAAATGTCTTATTGCTAAAAGTGACTTAGAAAAAACATATATATATGTATACCTACACACATCAGGTTAAAAACCTTGATAAAAGGATGCTGTGTGTATCTGACAAAACCTACATCCACTTCCAGGAAGGAGGAAGGCCAATGGTGCATGCTGGACATGATTCCACTAGTTCTCTGCTCCTCCCTTATCTTCTCTTGTGAAAGACATGTAACCATTTCAGGCTTTGTCCTGTCTCCGAAGAGTCACACTGGGGTTGACTGGGAAAGTGAGAACTACTGCTGACCTGATGCGGCACCTCGGAGAGAAACTGGGAGGGATGTGCGGGGCAATGCCGTCCTGAGCCGTCAGCTCAGGGTTTTGACGGTGATCACTAAGAGGGATGGGCCAAACCAGAATCCAACCCAACAAAGCCCAAGTTTGACATCAGAAACCTGAGAACGTGGCTTGTGTCTTTTTCTCTACGTTTAGAACCACGTCACAGAAGATAGGGGTCCCCTACTTCACTAGTAACACAAGGATGATGAGCACCTACCCAAGTGTCTGATACATAAATGTTTCACCAATAGTGGCTGTAATTATTCCTCCCATCATTATGGGCAGCTAAAGTACTGTGGGCTTGTATGAACCTCACAAACCTGTCAGGTAACAGATAATGGATCTTACGATATGTTTACAATATTAAAATCTTGAAGGACTAGCACATTAAGAAAATTTCTACAACTTGCTGCCATGCATTTTGGAGAAGCTTTGGTTTTACCTTGTGGTCCATACTGGCTCATCTGTGGACCGTAAGTCCCACTTGAGTTACTCTGCTGAAAGCTACTGATTCCAGCATGCATCTGGCCCCCAGGAGAAGGATGAGGCGACATGGATGGTCCTGTCTGTTGAGGTCCATACTGAGCCATCTGAGGGTTTCTTTGTGTGCCTGCCATAAAACCTAAGTGGGAAATAAATGGAAACATATAAATGCAGGTGTTTCATAATCTCTGCATACATAAAAATGGACATGGACTGATGTGGCAGGTGGCAGGGGAGAAGGCTGGTACCATAAGATTCTCCTAAAAAATAGCTAAAGACATCTCAGTTCAGCGTGGACGGTCTGGAGGGTGCCCTGGTGAAACCCTGGTCCTAACCCTGAATTCCCAAGAGGATTCCCAGGAAGCCAATGGCTTGTGGACTTCAATTAGGGAGGGGAGAAGGAGGAGAAAAGGCAAATGACCTTAACCTCTCTTGCAGATAAAATCCCTACAAAAAGCAACAGTGACCGACTGCTGTACTGCAAACCCTCTGCCCCTGAAAGGCTGGCCATGCCGTGCGTGCCTGCTCCAAGCCTTTGCTCCCTGCCCAATCTGTGGGATGCAGCTCTCTGGTCAAAGATCCCACTCGTCAGACCCAGGGTACCAGCTCTTCCCTGCACAGAGCTGTTTTTCTCCCCTCTGGTGTCCTCAAGCAGTAACCATTAAACTTGGCTCCTAAAGAGCCTGCAGACTTCTGAATACCTGACTCGGCACTACCCCTTACAGGTCAACTGCCAACAACTGCAGGCTTGCGCTGTATTCTGCTGCGCCCCAGCAGAACCTCTGACTTTCTCCTTCAAACCTGTTGGGTCTTGAGACTTATCTACCTCTGTAACTGGTACTGCCACTCCTCCAAATGCTCCCTCAGACACATGGGACGCCCACAAGGCCACCCTTTCCTTCTTTCCTCTAAGTGTGATCCATCCATCAGCACATCCTGGTGACTCCGCTCCGACATAGATCGTGCATGGTACTTCTTCCTTATTTCTACTTCTACCAAAGCCAGCCCCAGTTGTGTCTTCTCCTGCCCACACCACAGCTGTACCACCGACCACTCAGCCTTGCTAACCCCAGTCTTGCTCCTTTTGGTTCATTTTCCTCAAAGGTGCCAGAATAACTTTCAGGAATATAAAAGGAAATGAGAGCATATCTCTCCCCTGCATAAAACTCATCAAGGCTGGCTGGGCGTGGAGGCTCATGCCTGTAATCCCAGCTCTCTGGGAGGTCGAGGTGGGTGGATCACGAGGACAGGAGTTCAAGACCAGCCTGGCCAAGATGGTGAAACCCTGTCTCTACTAAAAATACAAAAATTAGCCGGGCACGGTGGCAGGTGCCTGTAATCCCAGCTACTCAGGAGGCTGAGGCAGGAGAATCGCTTGAACTCAGAAGGCAGAGGTTGCAGTGAGCTGAGATGGCACCCCTGCACTCCAGCCTGGGCCATACAGTGAGATTCCATCTCAAACAAAACAAAACAAAACAAAACATCATCAAGGCTTCCCACTGGCGCTAGAATAAAATGCACACGTGACCCTGTCTGTGAGACCTCGTGAGCTCTGGCTGCTGCCTTTCTCCCTTCAGCCCCATTTCCTAGAGCTTTCTCCCCCTCCACTGCACTGCAGGTCCCAGAGTTCCTAGAAGACAACATCGTGCTCCTTCCCTCAGCAAAGCCTCTCTCCCCCGTTCCCTCCTCCCGGCTCGCCCACGATCTGCTCTCCACACTGCTGGGTCCTTCTCATCCCTCAGCCCTCCCTCGACACCTGATCAGAGGTCACACCAACCCTTGCCCTTTCCCACTCACCTTCCTTCATAGCACTTTTCATAATCACTGGTAATCACTTTATTTTATTTTGACTCACTTATCATCTCTCTTCCCCACTAAAACATTAGCTCCATGAGGGCAAGAATCACACCTGGGTTCACTATCCTTGGTGCCTAGCAGAGCGTGTGGGACGTGGTGGTTAACAAAACTATTGCTTTTTAAAAAAATGAATGGATGTTAAATTCTTCATGCGGCCAACAGAGTGCTGAGTACGACACATAGGTGCTTGGTGGGTAGATGATTCAAATGGATAAAGAAAACACATCTTTATGCATCACTGGAAGGCCAGGTACCTCCACTCTCAGGAGTCCAGGCAAATGGAAGCGAGTTCATAGATGGAGCTGTGAAATACTCATTAGGACAAAGAGGACCCCAAATCAAGATAGATTTGAGAAAAAGCTGACATTATCCATCTAGCACACTAACAAAGGACAGTTTGAAAAACAACTCTCAGAACACAGGGTTTTATGTTCGGGAGAGGGGCCCACGTTACCAGGTGAAGGCTCTAGCTGGAGACGGGCAGGTTTCTGCTTCAGGAGAACCTAAAGCAGTAGCTTCGAAAGAAAATCCACTGAGGCAGCTGGAGGGTAAGATAATCCCAGATCTAAGTTTGGCTTAAGGAGGTTAAATGGCATATTGTATTTACAAAGGTGGCCACAGTTTACATTTCAATTAAAAAAAGAGATATAGTCTAACATTGCTTCTGTTTAAAGAGATAGACATAAAATAAAAGTAAGTTGAACTATTTCTTATTATCCTATTTAACTTATTTATAAAGATAAGCCTTATGAAATTGGGCTCAATTGGCAGCTTCCAGATATAAACCATCATAGAAAACATTTGCTTATTCAATCTGAAAACAAACAGAAATCAGAGCACTAAAATTACTATGAATGATTGCATCTTAAGATGTTACATGAAATATTTATCTAAGCTTTACTATAAAATTCTCAAGTGTTTCAGATAGAGTCCTGTTTAATAAAAAAATGTGTTTCAATTTCATAGAGATCATGTGGGTCTCCCCTTACTTTCTTTGAAAAGAACGATTGCTTTTTCTTCCTTAGTTAAGGAAAATAACACAGGCCCTTTAATTAGCATTAAATTTCACTCCAACCATGAAGGTGTCCATGCCAAAGGGTTTGGAAGCTCTGATAATATACTATATTCTTTTTTTTTTTTTGAGATGGAGTCTTACTCTGTCACCCAGGCTGGAGTGCAGTGGCACGATCTCATCTCACTACAACCTCCACCTCCCAACCTCAAGTGATTCTCCTGCCTCAGCCTCCTGAGTAGCTAGGATTACAGGTGCATGCCATCATGCCCAGCTGATTTTTGTACTTTTAGTAGAGACGGGGTTTCACCATGTTGGCCAGGCTGGTCTCGAACGCCTGACCTCAAATGATCTGTCTGCCTCAGCCTCCCACAGTGCTGGGATAACAGGTGTAAACCACTGCGCCCAGCAGTATACGATACTCTTAAGTTTTTGTGGCCTCTGTGACACTCATTATAGGCTTAAGGTTTGTTCAAATGAGTGCTAAGAATTCTTACCTAGGCAAGGTATTTCTTTTTCTATTTACTCAGTCCTTAAAAATACATATGTAGTGTTCCACTTGAACTATCTCAATTGTCACTGGCATTTCACATAAAATCACATTTGCAAAAAGGAGATGGAGTTTCCAAAAGGAGGTAGAATTAAAAAGCGAATTCAAATGAGGCTGCTTCACAGTATCAATTTCCCATACCTTAGGGACAAAGTTCAACTGGGTGTGGAATCTACCTCCTTACATAGAAATTACAACTTGAAAGCTATTTTTTTCTTTGTATTATTTACTTTTGCAATGGCACCACTTAAAAGAGCTTCCTGAAATCTTGTTTTCTATTTTTGGTGAGACTCACCCCTTTCCCTGTTCCCCAAGACCATGAAAGAGGAAGCTGACACATTTCCCTGACTCCTTTCTAAGCCAGCATCATCTAACGGCAGTGGACTGGGAATGGAAGGCGTAGATTGTGGTCTTGTTTGCGTCATGAGCTCTGAATCTAGTAGGGGAGACAGATATGTAAATAAATGGACTGCAGTGGGTATTGAATACAGCTTGCTGTGTGACTTTAAGCAAATCATAACCTTTCTGAGCCACAGTCCCGGATCCTGTGAGGATCAACTGAGATAATATGTCAAAGTGTCCTATAATCTGTGATGTGATATACAAAAAAAGTTAAGACATTATAATGTTAATGTTTGGTTTATAAACTCCCAAAAATATCTTTTCACTTGGATAGCCTATAAATTCAGATGAAGCTTCCAGCTGGGATGAACAAGTTTTTATTTCTACATGTTTTTAATTTAAATGTCTGGAATCCACATTACTCCAGCACTTGGGTAACTGTGTACAGATTATAAAGGGTTAAAAAGGGTGTATTATGGGAAGTACCTCTCACATCCCTGTCTTCTGCCAGAGTTCCCCTGGCCAAAGGCAAATGGTTTTTCAATGTATTCTTTCAGAGATATTTTATAATTTGTGATTGTGTTTTTATTTTGGTTATCAAGAGTAAATGTGAACATGTTAAACAGCTGTCTTTACTTCCTTTTCTATAAATGTCTGTTTATATCGTTTGCCTCTTTTTCTATTGGTCACGCTCTCTCTCTTGAATATGAAGTATTTCATCTGGCAGGTACAGCTCCTGTTAACAGATGAATTGCTGCATGGCTCACCCAAACCTCTGTATCTGCAGTCCTGTGAAAAGCTGGTCTTTCAGTTGGTGTAATAATGGCATAGACCATATACTGCCGTAAGAGGAAGTGTTATGACCTGACTTGCATTTGTTTTCTTTTTGAGACAGGGTATCTCTATGTTGTCTAGGCTGGTCTCGAACTCCTGGCTTCAAGTGATTTTCCTACCTCAGCCTCCCAATTAGCTGGGACTACAGGTGTGGGCCACCATGCCTGTTGCATTTTTGAAAGCTAACCCTACTGTAATAAGCATCATGAAGAAAGGATTGAAGAGGAAGAGAAAGGTTACACGTGAGAAGACCAGTTAGGAGGTAGGTACATGACACATAATAGAAAATCACAATTAAATGCCAACACTAGCTAATCCTACTAAAAAAGTAATCCATTATGGATATTTTTAAAGGTTATTGAATATTGCCATAATCTCCTAAACAAATTGATAAAAAATTAGAAGACAGAAGTTAGCTAAAAATGAAGTATTTCTATTCATCCTAAATACAGAAACGATGCATGTCTATTAGCAGTTTCCTCATCTGTAAAATGGGGGCAATCATATCTACCTCATAGGGTTGTAGTGAGGATTAACGGAGATAAACATGCATAAAAGGGCTGGCTCACAGGAAGCTTTCAACAAGCAGTAGCTTTTTTTTTTTTTTTTTGAGATGAAGTCTTGCTCTGTCGCCTAGGCTGGAGTGCAGTGGAGCACTCTTGGCTCACTGCAACCTCTGCCTCCCAGGTTCAAGTGATTCTTCTGCCTCAGCCTCCTGAATAGCTGGGACTACAGGTGTGCACCACCATGCCTGGCTAATTTTTGTTTTTTTTTTTTTTTTTTTTTTTGAGACAGAGTCTCACTCTGTCACCCAGGCTGGAGTGTAGTGGCACAGTGGCGCGATCTTGGCTCACTGCAACTTCCACCTCCTGAGTTCAAGCGATTCTCCTGCCTCAGCCTCCTGAGTAGCTGGGATTACAGGCGCCTGCCACCATGCCCGGCTAATTTTTTTTTTTGTATTTTTAGTAGAGACCGGGTTTCACCATATTAGCCAGGATGGTCTCGATCTCCTGACCTTGTGATCCGCCCACCTCGGCCTCCCAAAGTGCTGGGATTACAGGCGTAATTTTTGTATTTCTAATAGAGACGGGATTTCACCATATTGGCCAGGCTGGTCTCAAACTCCTGATCTTGTGATCCGCCTGCCTCAGCCTCCCAAAATGCTGGGATTACAGGTGTGAGGCACCATGCCCGGCCAGTTCTTGTCACTATTATAGATTCAAACAAGGGTACAGGACAGGTAGCATGGTAACCAAGAGAGCACTGGGCGAGGATCTCATCCTGGCCTCCACGTCTGCTGTGCAGATTCTAGCCAGTGACTTCACCTTTTTGGCCTCAGTTTCCTCACCTGCGCTCAATAGTTGTAGGGGCACTTCCAGCTATAGGTGTCTATGATTCTGGTTTAAACGTTTTTCTTTCCTAGGAAGAAATCTAAATCAAGTCTGCAATTTCCAAGTATATTTATTTCGAAGGTAGTTCTTTTCTTGTTTTGTTATATTTTTATTTTTGAAAGAAATACATTTTAAAATGTTTCCCAAGAAATCAGATTTCAACTAAGACTTTTCTTCCTATTTATGGTGACATATTTGTTTGATTGCATCTTGCTTTTTTCAGAACATTCTTCTAAGATGGTGTCTTGTAACAGAGTTTGCGAATAGCAAGCCTGACAGCTGAGGGAACGCAGCTGCGTCTTTAAAAGGTGTGACCTTTTCTAGTCATAAGCCATCTGAGTTTAGAGTACCACGCTTTCTGAATTTAGGGAAATTCAGAAAATATAAAATGAATTTCCTATATATTGTGAAAGTATATTGAATTACTAAATGTATTATGGAATTATAGGGTCCCAAGTAAATATCTAACATGGGAAAATTCAAACTTTAGACAAAGCACTAAATTAGATATTATCTACATGATACAAAACAAAGTTTCCTCGAAACCTCATATGAAAATATGATTAATATATTCATCCGTAACATAAATCTGCACCAGGGTTCTGATCAGGGAATTTCCTAGTTTTGAGTCCTGCGCTGTATGCTCATACAGTCACCGAACTTGTACTACCACATTCCAAATGCAGAGATACCCTTCTGATGTTAAAACCAGACTACCCTTTCTGCCCTTTAGGGGAAAAAAAAATCAAGCAAAAGAAAAATCCTTAGAGAGAAGTTAAGGTAGTGGAGTAGGAGCAACACACCCCCTATGGATTTGTTTGGAAGCAGATCTGTTTAGAGGCTGCGTCTCCCATTCGCTGTGTGGGTCCACAGGCTCCTTTGTGTAAAGTGAAGAACGCACATCTTGCTCTGGCTTACAAGATCATTCACCCTGAGAGTCAAATAAGAAAAATCCATGCACAAATGCTCTGCTAAACTGAAAACCACCATGAAAACCCTATACAAAGGCATTACTATTGCCTTTATAGTGATTCTGTGAGCCCTTTAGTCACTGCGCGGGGTTCTATCTGAGCTATCAAACTGGTAACTCAATCCACAGTAATGTCACACAAATCTTCCACCAGCATGCACCTATTTTACTCTAACATTCTCGGAACTGTGGTAGGAATAAGAGAGTATTTTTTAAAAAGCAAAAGATGTGATCCTTGCCCTCGAGGAACTGAAATTTTAGTTGAACAGAAAATAAAAGCCTATCAATAGGGAAAAATAATGAACTAAAATTACGAAGCAACTTATAACTTTATATGAGACAAGAAAAGTAACATCTTAGTCAACTAAATATCACCTCCTTTCTCTTCCATTTCTTGGTCATTCACGAGGTGCCAGGGGCATGAATGAGCCAAGCACAGGCAACATCTACCCTCATGGAATTAACATTCCAGCGGGACACACAGACATCTGACAAATAACTCAAAGTCAGTGTGTGACGTGGAGAATAAAAGCAGCACAGGTGCTATGAGAGTATCAGGGGAAGACCCAATTTAGACTGGGATGGTGGAAGGTTTCCTCGAAGAAGTCACATTTCAGCTGAGACCTAAACAACGTGTAGGAAAGACCCGGGCAAATCTGGCCAGACAGCTTCTGAGAGGCTCCACTGCAACCAGTGGGTGTCATCCAAAGTGGATGTCCCAAGGCATGGACTTGGAAACTAAAGTTCCTGCATTCAGCTGAGTCTAGAGGTCACTTGAGGTACCCTTTTACTTGGCTGGTTTAGAATTTTAACTTCTTCAAACCATCTGTAGCCCAGCTACCAACTGTCAAGAAATGACCACCCACACCACAAGAAAAGCCAGCATTGACGACTTCCTGCCCTCTAAGCTTTGAGCATCTCCAGCCAGGCCCGAGGCTTATTGGTTTTCCTCCTCTAAGAAGAAAATCTTCTGCTTGTGCCCAAGGCTGGTGCCTACACTTGGGCACTGAACCGCCTTCTGCATCTCGCAGATATCTGTGTTCATTCAAAAACCATTCACTGTCTCTTGACTCCTCAACTGGCTGAAGGCCAAACTTAGCCCAGCACACGAGTCTGCCGCCCTACCCTGGACACGCAGTCACCAGGTGCTCCCATTCTGGTTCTGTCACTTAGGCTCTGAGCTCCCTGTAGCCCCTGGGTTGCTTCAGACCTGCAAGTCCCTGCACATCCAGTCACTCAGCAAATCTGCATTCTCAGGTTCTAGGTAAGGTGCCATTCCCTGGCCTATGAGCAGCTGATCTTTAATGAGCATATATTATATGCTAACAGCTTGTTCATTATTAGCCCATTTCAGCTTCAAATCAACCTAAAGACAGTGAGGCTCACAGAGGTTGATTTGTGAGGCCACTTTCAAACTTTTTTTTTTTTCAACAATCCACACTTTAGAGACATATTTTATGTCATGATCCAATGTGCATATGTTTACATACTTACATATACTATTCACATACACTCTACATTTTCCAGAACAATGTTGACCCTTATTATGTACAGTGCACTCTGATATTTTACATATCATGGAAAGATCCACTAATGGGAGGCATAGCTTAAAAAACAAGATGGTGTGCTGTGTCCTTTGCTCCAGCTGTTTTTACAGGTGTGCCTAGAAGGCCACTTGCCTTCATACAGCTGATGTGCACCTGTTCTGTATGACTCTGTTAGTGCTATCTTCCATGACATTCCTTGCCCTTCCAGGAAAGCAGTCACTTTTATAAGCATGAAAAGCACCACGTATGTTAGCTGTGGCCGTGCAGTTAGCATACTGCTATTGTTTTTTGTGCAACTGTTTCTCTCGCCAGACTGTAAGTTCTGGAGGCTTTAAAACACACTCTCCTCTCATCTGCCCAAGCAAGGTATCTGGCATAGAGTTAGAACCAAAAACATGTGGTCTTAGTGAAAAATAAACCATCTTCATTCAGACCCATTTGCTCTTACTTTACAAAAGTGGCTTAATAAATTGGATTGTTTCGTTCTTCATCTCACGGTGTTTCCAAAGAATCATTTCTGAGGAAAAGGAGACAGCTGTCCAAGAAAGGACTGTTGTGAGAAGGAACAACTGATAGCTGACAGCAAGGCAAGGAAGAAAAACGAGTCTACTAGGCCAGAAAGCACAATTATTTCCATGGCCTAAATGTCTATCAGACGCATCCACCCTGTCCATCTCCACAGCCACTGCGAAGCTGTGAGGAGTGAGGGCTCTGCAGACCAACTGCCTGGGCCAAATCGTGTCTTCACCACTTACTAGTTCAGCAGCTGTGGGCACGTTAGTAGCTGCAAAGCATCACTTTCCTTTTCTGAAAAATGTGGATGACAACTGAGCCTACCTTGTAAGATTAAACGAGAAAATGTGTAAAGCACACAGCTCAGTGCTTGCACACACTAGAGGTTTAATAAATGATAGCTACTATTATTCATATTATTTTTAATGCAATCCACCATTTATTTCCTGACTCCAAGTTTCCAAACTAATTTCTCTTGCCAGGTTTCCCTACAAACCATTCATCAGTGAAGCCAGAAAATGCTGCAAGTCCTTGGATGGTGGTTAATCTCTGGAGGTGCAATGCCACACCTGTGAGCCTCCTGGCACGCCTTCCGAGGCTGCCCCTAGGGAGTGGTGGCTCCAGGCTGGGCCTGCCTGTCCCACGCCTCCTCTACAAGGCCAGCTAGAGCTGAGGGGGATCCTGCCTCACTTAGCTCACTATGCAGAAAGTCCTGTGCCCTTCCAGATAAATGGTTCCAGAAATAATTGGCCGACCATGTTATTTGGCTCAGAAAAGCTCAGCTTGTCAGTTTTAGGCCACTCAACCAACAGCTATAGTACTGATTAGCTCTGGGCGGCCTAAGAAGCAGTATACATCCTTCCTGATCTGGCAGATTCCCCAGAGTTTGCTTGTGTGTGTGTGGGGGGGGGGCGGGGGGCGGGGGGGAGAGAAAGAAAGATTGAGAGAGAGACAGAGACAGAGACAGAGAAAGATCTCAAAATCCCCATCGAGTATCTGAATAGACTCTCAATGTGAGGAGAAGGGCCCTGACTTCTGGTTACCATGGGATCTCAAGCACCCATGGCAGTGAGTAGCTTGATAAACATTTGTCTTAATGGATGAAACAACCCATTAGGTTTTTTGTGGGGGTTAAAGGAAAACCAGTCTGAACTAAGAAACCTATTCCTGGCCGGGCACGGTGGCTCATGCCTGTAATCCCAGTACTTTGGGAGGCTGAGGCGGGTGGATCACCTGAGGTCAGGAGTTCAAGACCAGCCTGGCCAACATGGTGAAACCCGGTCTCTACTAAAAATACCAAAAAAGTTAGCTGGGTGTGGTGGTGCACACCTGTAATCCCAGCTACTTGGGAGGCTGAGGCAGGATAATCACTTGAACCTGGGAGGCAGAGGTTGCAGTGAGCCCAGATCACGCCACTGTACTCTAGCCTGGGACAGGGTGAGACTCTGTCTCAAAAAAAAAGAGAAGACTGTTCCCTTTCTAGCTGTAAGTTAGAGCACGCAGGACCCTGGCCTAGGAAATGGTGCCCTGGCAGGTTCTGCTGCCCCAGAGCTTGTGTGAGGGTATGAGCCCGACCCGGGCAAGCGCGTTTCCACCACATGCTAAGAGGCGAATCCCTTGTCCTCAAGTTCATTTCAACGTTACATGGTGTTAATTTAGATAATGGATTCTAATACAATTTGATAATTGTTTGAATTCCACATTTTGTATATCTAATAGCTAAAGACAGGGGTAGTGGTGGGCTGCCAAGATATTCCCTGGAGTCATTCAGTCTGCATTTTGAAAGGACTGTTTTATTTAGGGGCATTCTCTTGTGAATAGTAATATTAGCATCAGTGAAAAATTCCTATTCCAATAATCCATTCTTGTTACATGGCAATGTAAGCAGTGTTCGCGTAAGTCTAGGAAAAACGCTACTTCAATCTCTATTATGGAGACCTGTGTTAAAGACTAAGCCAAGAGACATTTTTCTTCTATCAATTAAAAACAAGAAATCCCTTCACTGCCCTCTTGCAAAACTGGCCTAGTTGGCCTAATGACAAGCCAGTCATTGTCATAGGTGCTTGAGACCCAGTGGTAAACAAACTAGCATTTCTAAAACATGTCCCTGTGTTATTCTTAGATAAGTGAGTTTTCCAGACCTTTCCAGTGTGTTCTGCAGCAGTGTCCTATCTGTGGTTTGGTTAGCGGAGACTTTACCTAGTTTATAAAATGCTATATGCGAGCCAGGCACAGAGGCTCACGCCTGTAATCCCAGCACTTTTGGAGGCTGAGGCGGGTGGATCACTTGCAGGAGTTCAAGACCAGCCTGGCCAACATGGTGAAACACTGTCTTTACTAAAAATACAAAAATTAGCCGGGCGTGGTGACATGTGCCTATAGTTCCAGCTACTCGGGAGGCTGAGGCAGGAGAACTGCTTGAACCCAGGAGGTGGAGGTTGCAGTGAGCAGAGACGCGCCACTGCACTCCAGCCTGGATGACAGAGTGAAACTCCGTCTCAGCAAAAAAAAAAAAAAAAAAGCTATATATGATTCTCTTATTTGTAAAAGAGATAATCTTTACAGCAAAGATCCAATGTTGCTTTCTAAACCTTAGCAGATGAAAAAAAATTAAAGAAACTGATTTATGACATCCTTATAAGCAAATCACATCTTCTATATAAAAGAAGGAAAAAATGAATATTTTTGTATAGTAGGAATACAGAAAAATTCTTCCCTGGATAAGAGAGAGACCTAACTTTAGAAATTTTCAAAAATAGAATGAAACTGTATTTAATTTTAAAAGTAAACTTAGTCCTTAAAGCATATTTGGGGGTAGACGACATAAAGGAAACAGTGATGAAGCTCCATGAACTTAAACAGGGCAATGTTGTCAAAGCTCCAAAATCGCCAGGGATGGGTCCAGTTAAAGTACCATCCAATGAAAACATATCTCTAAGTTTGAAGGGTGTTACAAAACTGAGTTAGAAACAAAGTCAAATAAAAAGTGAAAGCAAAACTAGGAAATTTGGGGAAATAAAACTGGGAGGAATTTTAACATGGATCTTGTTTAGCCTCCAATCGTGTATTCTTTTCCTCTTCATGGGACACAACAAATTCTGCAATGTAAGCATTAGAAACTTTAAATCCTGTTGGAAAAAGTAGAGTCAAGCATGAAACCCAAGTCACCATTCATCCTACCCATGAAAGAGAAATCAGCAAACACAGAAAGCGTGCGTGGCCAGGCCCATGCAGGAAAGCACAAAATCAATTACAGAAAAATTTAATTTCTTCATCAAAGGTGCCTCGTCAGCTAGCAGAGAACTACAGCATTGTCAGGATACCAACAAGACGTCCAAGGCAACAGAAGCCACCGAAAAGCAAGCACGTTTTTCATTTGGCACATGGACAATTGATTTTCATGTTGGCATCTGTCTCTTCAAGCCAGTTCAATAAAAGCTGCTTTGCCATGTGTGTGTGCCACGGTTACATACCACGCCACCTTTGTGGTGTCTCCACCCAGAAAGACAGGCAGAGGCATTTCTCTTCACAAATAGGTGTCACATCTCCATTTGGAGAGAAAAATAGATTTAAAAAAATATTCTCGTTACATTTAACTATGTTCAGTGTTTATTTGCCTGCCTTCCTCTCTTCACAACATGAACTACTTTGAAGAAGACAGGAACTAATGGCCCGTTCAAGGCTTTAACCCAGGCCCCCCGCGCCACACCAGCTGTGCTATTAGGTTAACTGGCAAAACGACTCCCTCTCCTTCCCCACTACCACAGAGCCTGATACTTGGAGCCGGGCACAGCAACCTCTAAGCTGTCCCCATCCACCCCACAAACTCCTTTCCGCTACTGACTGGTCCTGCAACTTATACCACCTATCACTGGGCAAATGAGAGTCCGGGGAGGGGTCAGACTGAGCACCCAGATGACAGATGGGGACAGAAGATCCAGTCATTCCTTACACAAATCCTTTAAGTTTTAGCTGCAAAAGTCCACTTCAGTGCTGAGGAAAAAGACAAAGTACGTACGTCGCTATGCCCTGGAGAAGCAAATAAACTACTTTTTAAGGCTTTCGACCCAGGTCTCACCTGAGGTATCTGAACCTGATCTTACATTTACTATGTTCACGGTGCTTTGCAGTTTTTACTGTTAGATACAAAATCTTATTTGAATTGTGCAATATATCCATGATCCTCATTTCACAAATAGTCCAAAGATACAAAACTAGTTAGTGATAAAGCTTGTACCTAAACCCAGATCTTCTGATTCCAAAGTCCCTGCAGATTAAAATGAGAAGCAGCAGGTAAAACATGAGGCCCTGGAGTTCTGAAACTGACAAGGCCACGGTCCCTCCACTCGCAGAGTTCTGGAGTCTGGAACAGAGTTCAACTGTGAATCAACTGTAATCCCAGCTGTTAATGGGTCACCAACACTGTACACATCTGGGCTGCTTCAGAGGGTGCCTGGCCCATAGGGGCAGCACGGTGACTGGTTATGCTTCCTTCATTTGTTCACCCAACAAACACTGACTCAAGCACCTACTAAGAGCCAGGCTGAGGACCTTAAGAATCAGGACAAAGTACACAGGTAAGAAGACCCACAGGGGTGGTGGGGGTGCAGCTGAGGTGGGATGGCTGCAGAAGTGTTCCAGTTGGAGAGAAGAGTTTATATAAAGATCCCAAGAGGTTCAGTGTGGCAGGTGTTTGAGAGAGAAAGCAGTGTGATGACAGGGAGGCCAGCAAAGGAAGCCGGGGCTGGATAAGGACAGGCCCCTTGACCGCACAGATCAGTGCACCTTTATCCAAGGCACAGGCAAGTGACTAAAGGCATAGGTGGTGAGGAATGACATGCTCTCACCGGTCTGAGGAGGTGGAATATGATCTCAAAGGCATGAGGCTGGGGACAGGAGGAACAGCGAGGAGGCTGTGAGGTTAACTAGGTGTCTGGACTAGAGTGGTGATAGTGGGTATGGAGAAGGGGTGTGTGGGAACCTCTACTGGGGAAGAGTTGGTGGAACTTGGTGACTAATTAGTTTGGGGCAGACGGGGGAGAAAAACGCATCAAGGATGGCTTCCGAATTTTTGGCTTTGGAAAAAGACAACGGTTTTTCACTGAGACAGAAAAAACACAAAAGGAACAGGAAAAAGTGTTGTTATAAATCCATGAATTTACCTAAGATCCAGATGTTCTCAAATACTTTCAATGAAGAATAATGAGCCAATTACAAATAAGTATTAAGTATTAAAAGCCCACTTTAATTGGCAATTCAAAAAATTACTGCATATAACAAAAGTAACAAAATATGCTTCTTTTAAAATGTTCTAAAACTTCGACTGATGCTTCCTCAATGAATATAAATGGACTCCTATTGTGTGTGACATTTGTTTTCCCAGCTTTGGGATGAACCTATTTCTGGATAGCTGGCTTAAAAGGAACTTAATGATAAACCTGACACAAGTCCTGTGCCATGACTGCCTTCATTACTGACTAGCTTTGGCTTGGTCCACAGTCTAGCACAGAGGCAGAGTTCTGAGGCTGAAGAAATTAGAAGCAGCTTTCCAGAGTGGTGTCTAGATATTCTCTTTTGTATAAAGCCTCCCATTTGAGTTTATTTTCATCTTTCACACATCACAAAGAAGGGATCTTCAATTAAGAGTGGAGGCTAAGTTAATTGCATCTGGGGGTGAGGGTAGATTATTGCTGATGCCCTACCGGGGTGATCTATAAACTTACACAGCATACATTAGGAAAATGATACACTTACTCTTTAAAACTAGAAAGGTAGATTAAGAGAATATTTTCTGACAACCAGTATATCTTATGATACATCTCAGCATCTGCAGATCTACTGTCACACTTACAACCGGGAATCCAATAGAAAGAAGAACAACACGGTT
Organism: Homo sapiens; assembly: GCF_000001405.40. NCBI lineage: Eukaryota > Metazoa > Chordata > Mammalia > Primates > Hominidae > Homo > Homo sapiens. The sequence goes on along the minus strand of NC_000006.12, from coordinate 157,118,263 downwards.
TCCGTAGGTTGCAAAACAGAAAAAAGTATCAAACCCCACTTCCAACTCCTTAACAATTATCCGGGTGGTCTCCTTCATTTCAGTACTGACTTGTTAATCTATTCTTGAATATTAAGGAATTAGGTCAATTCAGATATTCAAGAGTAATTTTCACATTTAAAAAATAACTTTTGGTATAAATATCACCATAAAACTAGCTGACAACAGTAAAAAACTTTCAAAATTTTACATATTTCTATCTAAATGCCCCTGGGTCATAAAGAGCACGGCTGGGGTTGGGGAGGGGACTCAGCACAATCCATTTAGTGCCAGGCTCCAGGTGCAAGGGCTATGGCTCATACTGACACCCACTGTAAGTACAGCTGTGCAGTCATGGAAATGCATCTGGGAAGAACAGAGGCAGGGGGGAGCAGCAGCAGTAGCTTTAATCTTGTGTAAGCTCAAAATACTAACAGTGAGTTCAGAGGGACAAACACTGTGTTACAGCAAATGACATACAGTATTTATTGGTAAAATTGTAAGCTTTCTTAATTCCAAACAATAAAGATTTTCTAGTTCGGTTGTCTTGTGCTTTGACAGGGTGTGAGAGCTGGATGGCTTTAGTTGTTTGGCTCAGTCTCTGCTGAGCATCTGTGAAGCCCCAGCCTGCTGCCGACATGGGGGTCCCTGGCAGGGGATGAACACCGAGGGCCATGCAGGCCCTGGGGAAGCTCAGTTGAACTCATAGGAAGACACTGAATTCATTCTTTTTCCCCTGATTGCAGGAAAAGGTAAGAGAAAGATGTGCCCGCAGCCAAAAGGTGTGCACTATGCAAATAGAATGTGACTCGAAATCTGATAAGGAATTCTACTCAGACTTTGTAAAGAAGCTAAAATATACCATTAATTAGTAGGAATAAAATTATACCAAGGCAGTTAACATTCGGGGTTAATAACAGAAGCAGCATATAAAAAATGAAGACATATTGAATAATGAAATATTCAATAATGAAGACTATTCAGTCTAAACAAAATATGTAATTTTGAAACCTCAGACTTTTGAAGTATAGAAATTTTGATTCACCTTTTTGTAGTAGTACGCAAAAAGAACCTTGAAATGCCTGATCATGCCCCATCTGCTACACACTTTGCTGGGTAATGGCACTGTCTGTATTTGCAAAAATGTAGCTACTGATAAATATTCCTCTGTGAACATCAGATTCCAAAGATGAGATTTTTGTGATTCTGCTGACAAACAGCTGTCAAGATCTCTATGTTTGGCTGGACAAAATACCAGAGGCTTAGAACAACACAAAATTTTGTTATCTATTTTCTCTATAGAACTATAGAGAAAATACACAACTCGCCCAGCTCACCTAATGTTGGTGTCGCTGATAAAGCAAAAGCCAATTTTCAATCAGGTACAGCGTGCTTTGACTACAACTCCTCTTTTTCAACAGTGGAGAGGAAAAGCCAGTCCTTGTGTAGGTTGGAAAGTGGGCAGAAATGAAGGTTGGGGGGACTGTTATTCAGTAATTCTGGAAGATTTCACCTAAGATGCTTTCAGCACCGATCTGATGGCCACACAATGGTGCCAGAGAACTGCCTCCAGCAACAGAATACATTTCCTCGTGGCTCACAGTCCTGGAGCAGCATCCATTCTGCTTGCATCTGTGTCCGAAAGGGGAAGTTCCTAGGGGTTCTGCTTCAGCATATCTCAAGGACTAATTAAATCCTCATTATGACCTTCTAATTATTCAAATACTATGGGATTACACTAGGAAAGTCCCTGCTGGCTTACTAGATAAAAAGGGTTAAATAACCTGTGTTGATTTTGGGAATCCAGATCTAGTTCAGACCTTCAGAAAATCACCGGCATTAACATGAATGTTTAACTAGACACCACTGTGAAATTAAAAGGGAATTCAATTAGAAGGTTTTCGAAAAATTAATTTTGACCTCTCTACATCTGTCCAAATAAATAAGCTTTCTTTCAGCATTTTCACCTAATTGCTAATCCAATAAACTAGAAGGGCATTTGTTAGTTTCATTAAGCTTAACGTGTCACTGGGGTTAAAAATGTGGTAACTTTAATGTTAATAATTATTATACTTATTTATCTACTCAGATGACTATTCCGTATTTCCTCCAAGACTTCCTAAGAGGACAACCTATTAATAAGCCGTTTCCTATTTTTCTTTTTGAATTTCAAGACATATAAAGATTAAGAAATAAGGATAAAACAAATGTGAACTGGTCACCTACAATTTTTGTAAGATTCATTTCAGTATTTTAAGGTTATCTGAACTGTTCCTCCAATGCCTTTGGTGGCCTAATTTACACTGCTTGATTTTTTGGCAAGGTGATTTAGTAACATTTCTGTATATTGCCATATGAGGTCTACAGAGAGGTTTAAAATAAAAACCAATGGCAAATGTGTTACAACAGAATACTAAACTGAGGTTTTTACTGTTTTTCTTTAAAATTCATGTACATAATGAAGAAGTAAAGGCCAAAAAATCTGAACTAATTTTCTTTATTTAGTTAAAAAGAAGTTCCGCTGGGTGCGGTGGCTCACACCTGCAATCCCAGCACTTTGGGAGGCAGAGGCAGGCGGATCACGAGGTCAGGAGATCGAGACCATCCTGGCTAACATGGTGAAACCCCATCTCTAATAAAAATACAAAAAAATTAGCCGGGCGTGGTGGCGGGCACCTGTAGTCCCAGCTACTCGGGAGGCTGAGGCAGGAGAATGGCGTGAACCCGGAAGGCGGAGCTCACAGTGAGCTGAGATTGCGCCACTGCACTCCAGCCTGGGTCACAGAGCAAGACTCTGTCTCAAAACAAACAAAACAAACAAACAAAGAAAACTTCCAGCAGCACAATACTAAATCAAGTTTTATACTGGAAAACAGAAGATGTAGAGGAGGCAATACTATGTAAGAGAGTAGAGAGCCCAATAAATATCTAAAGTTTTCCCTCCATTTGTAACCTATGATGCCATATCCATATTTACTTGCACAAATACCTTCTATACATAGAAAATATCAACTGTAGAAACTCACAGTTATTTTCATCTGTGTACAATGTGGGGAAATGGATTTGTGACTGATGTCCTGTGACAAAACTCAATACCAAAACCACCAGATAAAATGGGCACCGAAAAAGAGATGGGGTGGGGACGGGGACTGCAGGTTTACAAAGGACTGCTGTCAGGAAAGCTGGGCACTTCACTGACCTTGCTGTCACCAGAGGTTTGCAGAACCTCTGACACACAGGGTACATGGTTTATTAACATATGCTCTTCCTGAACGGGAACACAGGACCAAGTAGAAAAGAAAGATCAGAGCAAGGGTTCAGCTACTTGAAACTGGGGGGACTTAGGCTCCAAGGCAGTGTTGCCAGCATCACTGCCCCATGAGGACTTGGAGGGAGAACTCAGAAAACTGCACCTCTAGAGAGAAGTAGGTTGCATCATCTCTCACTCTCCATCATCTCTTGTCTCTGTGCAAATGTGTTTCTAGATTCCGTGCCATTAAAGAAAATGTTATCTCCTGTGGGTACATTAAAGAAAGTACGTATATGGTGGACTATTACTATATTATCAGAATCTTATTTATTAAAACAAACTAAGTGTAAACAGAACTGTTCAATGTGGTTATTTCAGCACTCAGCAGTACAGAAGCAATGTCATTACCTTTTCTATCAGGGTCTATGGTTTCCATGATATACCTTTTTTTTTTTTTTTTTTTTTTTTTTTTGAGACGGAGTGTCGCTCTGTCGCCCAGGCTGGAGTGCAGTGGCGTGATCTCAGCTCACGGCAACGTCCGCCTCCCTGGTTCAAGCGATTCTCCTGCCTCAGCCTCCTGAGTAGCTGGGACTACAGGCACACACCACCATGCCTGGTTAATGTTTTGTGTTTTTAGTGGAGACGGGGTTTCACCATGTTGGTAAGGCTGGACTCGAACTCCTGACCTCAAGTGATCCACCCGCCTCAACCTCCCAAATACTGGGATTACAGGTGTGAGCCACCGTGCCCAGTCTGATATACTCGTTTTAAAAAAAGATACTAACTCACTAATGTATTTCTTGGCCTGTTTCTTTCAGCACTTCCCTAAACAAGGTAGGTATATATCAACCGTAAGAGTATAAACAAAGTTAAGTTACTTTCCAATATGGGGGAATGAATTTTGGGGAATTTCCTAGTAAGAGTTTTCTTAGATCTGCTTTCCATTGTGTATGCTGCTGGTACATACCAAATGATGGTCCAACAAACAGATGTTTCTATTATTGTGCCAAAGCACTAAAGTCACTGTCATTTAGACACCTGATCAGGTGGCATTTGATCAAAGGTTATTAGGAGCTAACATTTCTTCCTAAGTTTTAATAAATAATAAAGCCATTTTCTTTAAAGCCTTGCTACCCAGTGCTGGAGGAAATTTCACTCATGCAAGGCAAAGCATCTTCTAACGTAACAGTCATTTTAAAATAGAAAGTTTTCCTTTTCAGGGTGTTGCCTAACCAACACACACACACAAAAGGGAATGTACAGTGATATAGCTTGGCTTTGTGTCCCCACCCAAATCTCATGTTGAACTGTGTCCCCACCCAAATGTTGGAGGTGGGGCCTGGTGGGAGGTTATTGGATCATGGGGGTGGTTTCTAGCGGTTTAGCACCGTCCCCCTAGTGCTACCTCATGAGAACTCACGAGATATGGTTGTTTAAAAGTTTGTAGCACCTCCCCTTTCGCTCTCTTCCTCTTGCTCCTGCCATGTAAGATGTGCTAAATTTGCCTTCACCTTCCATCATGACTGGAAGTTTCCAGAGGCCTCCCCAGCCATGCCTGCTGCACAGCCTGCAGGACTATGAGTCAGTTAAATCTCTTTTCTTCATAAATGATCCAGTCTCCAGTAGTTCTTTATAGCAGTGTGAAAACAAACTATAACAATATAATAATGTCTCTCACAGTCTTTCAGAGGAGGTTTAGAGATCACATTCATAAAAATCAATTCACATTTAGCAACTTATATAATTTATATTTACTATTTGAAAGAAATGGTCATGGCCGGGTGCGGTGGCTCATGCCTGTAATCCCAGCACTTTGAGAGGCCTAGGCAGGTACATCACCTGAGGTCGGGAGTTGGAGACCAGCCTGACCAACATGGAGAAATCTCATCTCTACCAAAAACACAAAATTAGCCGGGCATGGTGGCACATGCCTGTAATCTCAGCTACTTGGGAGGCTGAGGCAGAAGAATCGCTTGAACCCAGGAGGCAGAGGTTGCAGTGAGCTGAGATCGTGCCATTGCACTCCAGCCTGGGCAACAAGAGTGAAACTCCATCTCCAAAAAAAAAAAAAAAGAAGTGGTCATTATAACCACCCAGCTTGTTATGTACCTGGTATCAGTTACCCAAACTACACTACATATAATAAAGGCAATCGAAGGAAAAACAATAATCATATTAACATGGTAATTTCCATACAGTGGTACCACTAAAGAGCCTAGATTTTGCCTTGAAAGTGGATCAATTTAAGTTAAAAGTTTGATTTAGCTAAGTTTCCTAATTGTTGTCCTGTTCTTCACATCTGGTTTTCTACATTGCCCAATTTCCCAAACACGTATCTGTTGGAAAGGGCTGGGAAAGACATTGTTCAAGGATCTGAGAGGGTTTCTCTTTGTTTTCTTCTTAGTAATAAAGGTTAAAATTTTAAGACTTTCAAATAAGGGAACTTTTACCCTTTAACACTTGTTAAAATAAAAAGAACTGTACCAGTGAGAGTGATGTTACAGGGTTATGGGGTGAATCTTCATCTCAGTTCTCTGCCTGACCCGAGTAGGCACCCAGTGCAAGACAATTTCCTTTTTCCCCACAGTGACCCAACAATACAACACAGGTGCAACTCACAACCAAAAAAGGATTTTAGTAAGAATCACGCTTGCTTGGCACCAGTACACTATAAACTTCTATAATGCCTTCAAGATGACCAGAGCCATATGAGGAGTTAACACAGATCAAGCAATTTAGAGAGATGATATGGGATAAAAGGATGATTTGGAGCAGGTCACAGTAGAGAATTTAGGGAAACAAATCCACATATTCACACAATTATTAAAATCTATTTTTATTTTTTTGAGACAGGGTCTCACTCTCTGTTGCTCAGGGTGGAGTGCAGTGGTGTGATCACAGCTCATTGCAACCTCGACCTCCATGGGCTCAGGTGATTCTCCCACCTCAAAAACCTATTATTGTACTATTAGAAGGCAGTGGTTCTCAAGGTATGGTCCTCAAACCACTGGCATCAGCAGTATCTGAGAACTTGCCAAAAATGGAGGTTTAAAACGTCCCAATTCAAACCTTCTGAATTGGAAACTTGGGGGTGGGGCCCAGGAATCTCTTTTAACAAGTCCTCCAGGTGATTCTCACACACTGTGAAGTTTAAAAACCATGAACTATTCCATTATTAAAACATTATATTATCGACTATACCTTAAATTATAATATATATATGTAATGGTATTAGAAAATGAAAAATTCATTTTATCCCTCTGAAACATTCAACACAAATGATATGTAGAGAAAGCAAATCTATCTTTTCATTGACATTAGTTTCTAAACATGTTGCTGAGTTTGTAACATGTAAAATAACTTAAACCTCATAATTCTAATCAGAAGCAAATCATCATCTCTACAACTCATATACAAATAATTATAAACAGTAGGGGTCAGGAGCCCAGTACATATTAGCTGCCAAGGTAGGAACTTCTGGCCTCTGGGCCTGTGTGAGAGAGGAGGGGAGTGCAGGACAGCGGTATCTCTCTCGTTTGTTGTGGGATGGAGCAGACAAGCCTTGCCCCACAGCAAGGGAAGTGACCTGCCACCGCACCAGGGGTGCACAGGTAGGCTTCTTGTACCTCCAGAATACACCAATCTGGATTAAAACCACCACCACCACCAAGAGTAGCTTTCCTACTCCAAGGGATAATGAAGACAGAGGTAAATATGGGTGGGCTTAAGGTCTCTGCAAGGCAGTTAAGAAATGCACGGCAGGGATGACAGGCAGGACTGAGCTAAAGGTCAAGAGCACTGGCAGATGTGGGGCCACTTCTCTCCAAAGGTTTCTGGAAAAGCCCATATTCTTTTTTTCTGGGACTGGCACTAACTAGCTCCTGAGAATAAGGGAAGTCACACCTAACCGCTACACTCCCCAGTTGCTTTAGGTGACTGGGCCATAGAAACTTTTAGGTCTGCTCCAGTTCTAAGATCTTACCATTTATTAAGACAGGGTCTTGCTCTGGGTTTAAAATCTTACTATTAAATATCAGGGAATAACCAGTATTAACACACACAACCCCCCACCGCCAACCGCCACACACACACATTGGGACTGATACCCTAGTTGAGTCATTCACAGTTATTTTTACACAGCTAGACCAAATACCAGACTACAGTCATATGTGAACCATGCTTCATGGTGCTATGTGGACACACACATTCTTTGGGCCTTGAACTGTACTTTGACCACACTTCACCCAACCTACAAGAAAGCATCCTCCCTCCTCTCCATATTTGTTGGAAGGGCTTTTATTTCTTCCGTCTGATAAGAAAACATAATATCCTTTAAAAAAATTAATGATAAGGAGGTGCATAGGTAAGCAAACTCACGTACGCCTTATCGCCTGAAAGCACTATAGGCATGTAAGACATGAACTGGAGACGAACCTCTTTCCTGTGGCATTGGTGACTGGCTCAAGGCGGGATGGGAACTGGATTCTGACTGGCTCCCGGGTGGCTGCGGAGGCATCTGACTACCTGTAAAACACAGGAGGGAAAGTGGAGATGGGGGAACCCTTTGCATTAATAATGCAGTCATGCAAAACCAAGACACAGCCACATTTAATTTTTATGATCACAAAAGGTATAGCCCCATTAAAAAAAGACATAGCTCAGAGTGTAATAGTTCATCTTTTCCCTGGGAAACAAAGAGGAAACATGAATAAACATATTTAGCTAAACACTTGCTGAAAAGTTGTTACTGAATGAGTTCCTAAACTCATATATGAATCAATCTGTAGCTGAAATTTCTTGACACACACTTCTGCAATGCATTTAAGAAAACGTAGGAGAGCTGGGCCAAACTCATCCTCCTGACTCTTACGTGAGTCTCCAGGTGGGCAGGCATGCAGAGTGGCCAACAATTACTCATGGTAATATCCAATCAGTACAGTAATATCAATAGACTTCTAAAACATCTTCATCATTAGTCAGTCAGAGATTTAACATAAACTTAGAAGACCTCCATTAAGAAACAAAAAACATACTACTATAAAATGCAGTATACATGATCACTAAAGAAGGGACTATTATTCTGCATCTCTTTTGATCTTTATTGCTAATACAGCAATAGCATCTATTTAATTTCCAGTTTTAAGTGTATGCTCAGTTTGTCTTTTCCAAATATAATGTAAACTCCTTAAGACAGGAATCTTATCTGTATTCCTTCAATCCCTCTCTGAACATAGCAAATACTTAATAAGTCATAATCTGAGAATATTATTTAAAGGAAGATACTTCTTACTATACTGATAAAAGAGAGATAATGAGTCATGTGAAGGCAGGAGATGAGATTTTGAAATTTAAAAATCATCAGAGGTAGCTGATGATCTCAACTCACTTTTTGGCTGAGAGGTTTAAATGCATTTCTAAGACTAAAAATGTAACGGAATTTAAAAAGCAGCTGAATTTAGCACAGTCCTCAAGGCACTAACTAGCTCTCGTGACATGAGGACCATGCTATTTTATCTTCTACCCTCCCTCTTTGCTTCAATAAATTGGAAACACAAATACACTCACACACACACATAAAGAACATTGCATAGTCCTCTGGGGCGGTGGTCCTGGGACCCCGGCTGGATCAGGCTAACCGCTCTGACTCCGTCAGACCCACTGCTTCATAGTCAGGCATATTGCTCAAAAGAATTACAAATAATAAAGAAAAAAATTAGTGTCCTAAAGATCATCACCAATTCGCCCCCCGTGAAGGTCAGGGCACATTCAGCACAAAGCCTGGTATTTGACGATGTACAACAACCAACCCTCTTGTGGTTCTACAAGATGGGTCTGTTACCCATGTGGCCAGGCAGGACACGGTCCCAGAATCTCTCAGGACGGTCACTCCTTACTAAGTCTAATCACGGGGTATCTGTGGCAGTCAGAGGATCAGGAATATGATTTTCAGTTTAGATAACACGTATAAATAGCTGTTAAAATATTACTATAAAACAATTGTTTTCAGGGGTTTAGGCTTTGTTTAGAGAAGAATGCAAAACTTGTTTATGTATTTCTGAGTGTTCCTGAGTGTGTAACTGCCACTCTCATTTTCAGATTAAGTGAAAACCAAAGACCTGAATTTATAGACACTGAGAAATATGCACTGTGTCACCACTAGAAGCTGCTTTTTACATTAGAACCATAACTAGTCGGGATAAAAGACCTGGACAAACAGCATAGACTTCGTTAAGTATCCATTTGGTTTCAGACATTTGTAGTAAATTAGTACTAGTACCAAATAATTAAATGTAAAGTAAAAAACACCTAACATTCTGAACCAAAACAATTTCAAGGGTAAATACTGGTCACCGACTTGGCTACAGATCTACAAAAGTTGCTGTGTGCTCACTGCAGGGTCATGTGCTTCCTATGAAATACCCTAAGGCCTCCAATCTATAGTCCATTTAGAAATTTAAAGCACTCTGCAGCCAAATACTGACTTTTTAAAATGTCACTGGGGAATCAGCTGCAGCAAGACAGTAAGTGCTTACATTATCAGGATCACTTCTGCATGACAGGCTGGATTCATAGACTCATGACAGTAAAAACAAACAGTAATTCTATGTGAACACAGGGCACCGTGGCTTAGACAGTGCACGCCCGAGGCACTGCTCTTATGCACAATATTTCAAGTAGAAATAAAAAAGGCTGTAAGTAATGCATCCCATGATTCATAAAATACCGCCACAGCCAAGCAGCACTTCTGGTTGTGTGGCACAATTCTAAGACAGATGTCTCTTTAAAGCAATGAGAATATTCACATACCAAATTCATTCTGTTAAAGATACAAGAGCTTTATCATGATACAGATCCACCCAAACCATCTTATTCATTTTCCTTTACTCCCTATCTTTCTACCATAGTTTCATAACTACTAAGTCATAGTTACTATGATTCAGTAACTACAGTAACTAAGAAACAACTTGATCTTCCACAGGCATAGTTTAAACATCGTCACAGCAGATGATGACTCAGAAAATGCATTTGAGAAAGTGATAACAGAAGACTCATTTGTGTCCTTGGCCCATGTAAAGAAGAAAATTCAGAGCCCTCCGAACCAACCGAATTCAATAAACACCTTCAAAATTACAGATTTTTATATGACATGTGTTGGTCACAAGTAAAACCTCTTAAACAAAGTGTGGTAATAATTTTTAAAGCGCATACTGCTGGGCACAGTGAACCAACCCACTTTATGAAGGCACTTTAACATTAAAATAGCTTAAAAAAATAAATAAAGAGAGCCCCCGTGTTCTTTCCTCAGCAATGTCTATTATGATGTAAGCATAATGGAAAAAAATACAACTGGAAAACACTATACTATGAATTAGAGTAAGTTCCATCATTGCACACTTCTGTATTCTCCAATGATAACACACACAGCCACGTGCACAATTTAGGTGCAGAACTGTCACCTGCATTTCTACTTTTACTGAAATAAAATTATCAGCCTAAGTCTATGCTATCATTTTCTTAAAAACGTATTTTTATTTTTAATTAATTTTAGACTTACAGAAAACTTGTAAAAATAGTGCAAGGAGTTCCCTTATATCCTTTAGCCCACCTCCTCCAATGTTAACATCTTATATAACCATAATACAATTACCGAGAAGAGAAGCTTACCTAAAGACCTCATTTGAATTACACCCATTTTTCCGCGTCATGTCTTTTTTCTGGGATCATCCCACATTTCATTTAGTGACTTTCCCTTAGCCTCCTCCAGCTGGTAGGTACTTTAGTCTTTCCTTCTATTTTGTGACCTTGACACCTTTGAACAGTACTGTTCAGTTATTTTGTAGAATGTTGCCAAATTTTATTTGCTCTGATTATATTTTTTATCCCTAAAATGAGGTTATGAATTTGGGGAAGTGTACCACAAAAATGTCATACCCTTCTCAGTACAATCTATTTTCCCATTGTAGTTGGTTAAGTATTTTTTGGAAGATATTTGAGACTATGCAAATCCTATGCCTCCTCAAACCTGCACTCACGAATTTCTGGATCCTTTAGAAGATCTTGTTTACATTTATTACAGTGGTATCGGCTAACGGTGATTCTATATTTCCCCTTTTTCTTCCACATTTAGTTACTGGAATTCCATTGTGAGAAGAGCCATCTTCTTCCTCACTTGGTTTTTTATTTATTAGACTATTTCTCTTCACTCACTGTGGCAGACACACCCTCGAGTAACCTCCAATGAGTAACACCGGTGAGTAATCCCCTCCTCTCCACTGAGCAGAACCTGTAATTCTATCCAAAGAATGTGAAGAAAGTGATGGGCTGTCACTCCTGCAACTATGTCAGATGGCAAATGTGAAAGGATTTTGCAGATATAATTAAACTCCCTAATCAGCTGACTCTGAAATAATCAAAATGGAGAGAGATGATCCTGTATGGGCCTGACATTTCAACAGGGTTCAGGCCTTCTAGGAAATAGGCTTCTCTGATGTGAACTGAGACTAAGGCAAGAACGAGAGGCCTCCAGAATCTCAGGACCTCACTCCAGCAACTGCTAGGAGATGAAGCTGCCACAATCCGAATGAAACTGGAAGTAGATTGTTCCCTAGTCGAGCCTCCAGATGAGGATGCAGGCTGCCCAACATCTTGACTGCAGCCTTGTAAGTCCTGAGCAGCTAAGAGGTGCCTGAACTCTCTGCCAGGGGAACAGAGATAATGAATGTGCCTTGTTTTAAGCTGGTAAGTTTGTGGCACACCCTTTGGGCTTTCCTTTTTTTCACGCTGTCCTGGACACACTGTCCTGGGCTCCCCAGCACCCCTTTATGTGAGTGCTCCATAGTTTACTCAACACTCTCCTGTGTATGGGCATTTAGACAGTTTCCAGTCTTTTGTGGATGTATTTTTGTATTGCTGGGGTCTATGTTCAGGGAAAATTCCCTGAAGTGGGATTGTTGGGTCTAAAGGTTACACAATTCCAAATTTCCTTCTAGAAACTTTGTACCAATTTACATTGCTACAAGCAATGTTTGAAAGGCCTGTCTCTCCATAACCTCACTAATAGAATGTATTGCTGTTTAAAAAAATTTTACCAGTCTTGGCCAGGTACGATGGTTCACCCCTGTAATCCCAGCACTTTGGGAGGCTGAGGCGGGCGGATCATGAAGTCAGGAGTTCAAGACCAGCCTGACCAACATGGTGAAACCCCGTCTCTATTAAAAATACAAAAATTAGCCAGGTATGGTGATGCGTGCCTGTAACCACAGCTACTGGGGAGGCTGAGGCAGGAGAATCGCTTGAACCCGGGAGGCGGAGGTTGCAGTGAGCCGAGATTGCACCACTGCACTCCAGCCTGGGCGACAGAGCAAGACTCCATCTCAAAAAAAATTAAAAATAAAAAATTACCAGTCTTACTGATTCTGAATGAGTTTGACTACTTTTTCAGATTTTAGGGCCATTTTAATATCTTTCCTTGTGAATTGTTTGTTCAAGTCTTTCTCCTATTTTTCTGCTTACGTTCTTAATCCTTTGCCCTGGAATTTTTAAGGGTTCTTCATATATTAGAGATATTAGCCCTTTGTCTGTGGTATATATTGTGAATATCTTCTCCTAGTTTGTCAGTTGTCTTTTAGTTTTGCTTACGGTGTCTTTTGTAGCGGAAATTTTTTTTAATGTTGTCAAATTTATCAGTCTTTATTTTTATTGCCTCTGGATTCTGAGTCACAGTTAGGAAGCTATTCTCTCTACACCAAGGTTAAAGAGGAATTCACCCTAGTTTTCTTCGAGTACATACATGTTTTTTTTCCATCTCCCTTGAGTTTATTTGATGTGAGGATGGATCTAACTTAATCTCTTTGCACGTGGCTCCCCAAGTATTCCAACACAATTTATTTAAAAATCCATTCTTAGCCCAGTGACTTGAAATATCATCTTTGTCATTTAATACATGTTCACATGTATTTGGTCTAACTCTGGACTTCCTCTTCTGTTCCACTGGCTAGCACACACTATTTTCAGTTCCAGTATTTTTATACCATGTTTTAGTGTCCAGTAAGAATAGTGCTCCTCACCTTTTCTTTTTCAGTGTTTTCTAAGTTTTCTTGCATGTTTTTCTATATGAACTTTAGTATCAACCTGTCCAACCATATAAAATAGCTCACTAATATTTTCACAGCAATTGGACTGAAATAATCAGTCAAGGAGAACTCATGACTGCTGAGTTCATCCCACCCAAGAACAAGAGACATCTTTCATTTGCTTAAGTCTTCTTTAGTTTCTTTCAGGTACCTAGAGGGTTTGTATATTTTATGTTAAGTTTATTCCTAAGCACGTAGTCTTCCTTGTTGCTACTGTAAATGGGATTCTCTTCACCATTATATGTCTTTTAACTGTTTATTGTTTGTGTATAGAAAGACTACTGCTTTTTGTATGTTAATTTTATGTCTCACTACCGCATTAAATGAATTCTTCCACTGCTAATTTGTCATTGATTCTCCGGGGTTTTCCAGGCTTACTATTATATCATCCGTAAATAGACAGTTTTATTTCTCCTACACTCATCCTTATGCCTTTAATTGAGTTCTCTTGCCTAACTACATTGGCTAATATCTGTAGTACATTACTGAACAGTAGTGAAGATAGTGATGATCCTTGCCTCATTTGTGATCTTAGTGGAAATGCCTCTAGAGCTTCCCTAGTCCATAAGTGAAACTAAAGCATATACATTTTACCATGTTGAGATTGTATCTCTCCATTGCTACTTCCTTGAGTGTTTTTATCATAACTGGGTGTTGAGTTTTGTTACAGAGAGGATTTCCCCCCACCAGATGTATGTTTATGGTATATATTAATAACAGAGTTGTTAGGCCGGGCGTGGTGGCTTACGCCTATAATCCCAGCACTTTGGGAGGCCAAGGCGGGTGGATCACGAGGTCAGGAGTTCGAGACCAGCCTGGCCAACATGGTGAAACCCTGTCTCTACTAAAAATACAAAAAATTAGCCGGGCATGGTGGCAGGTGCCTGTAATCCCAGCTACTCAGGAGGCTGAGGCGGGAGAATCACTTGAACCTGGGAAGTGGACGTTGCAGTGAGCCGAGATCACATTACTGCCCTCCAGCCTGGGCAACAGAGCAAGCCTCTGTCTCAAAAAAAAAAAAAAAAAAAAAAGTTGTTAATATTGAACCAACTTTGCATTTCTGGAATAAATGCCACTTATGATACATTATTTTCTTAATGTACTGTTGGATTCTGTTTGCTAATATTTTCTTTAGAATCTTACACTAGGAGAAGTTTTGGGAGAATTTTATCCAATTAAAAATAGCTTTTAAGAACTAAATCAAGATAAGTACCAAATTAAATATTCAAGTAACATAACTCTGGGATTTTAGTATATAACACAATTGGGAAAAAGAGGCTAATATGTGTATTTTGGTAAATTAGCACACATCCAGTAATGTATAATGTACAGTGGATGGACTGAGACATGAATATATTATAGCTCAGCATACTTCATAGAACAAGATGGTGGGGCAGTCAGTACTAACAAGTGCCACGTTCTACGATTTTTTACAACTGGACACAGTATTAACACTTTCCATAGTTCTTAATTTAATTCCGTTCATTGTCTCAACTGACTACAATGTACATTCCATACAGACAGAAAATTCAGACTGTTTGGTTCCCCGCTATATTATATCTCTTGAACCAGGCATATAGTAACCATTCAATAAGTATTTGTTGAAAAAAAAAAGTATGGCTAATGATTCCAGGAACCAAGCTCAGATTAATAGATAATTAGATCTTTGTAACTCATCTGTAATCATGTAGTTTTATCTTATTATTCTAGATGAGGATTAGACAAACTTTCTCTGTAAACTGCCAGATAGTAAACATTTTAGGTTTCACAGGCCATATGTTTTCTGTTCCAACTACTCACCTCAGCTGTTGTAGTTCAAAAGTAGCCACAGACAATATGAAAACAAAATAGCATAAATAAAACTTTATTTGCCAAAACAGGTGGTTGTCTGAATTTGGTCCTTAGGCTGTAGTTTGTGATCCCTGTTCTAAATGATAATATGAGTGAGTAAAGAAACATTCAGGAAGGCCGGGTGCAGTGGCTCACACCTGTAATCCCAGCACTTTGGGAGGCTGAGGTGGGTGGATCACGAGGTCAGGAGTTTGAGGCCAGCCTGGTCAATATGGTGAAACCCCGTCTCTACTAAAAGTACATAAAAATTAGCCAGGCGTGGTGGCGTACACCTGTAATCTCAGCCACTCAGGAGGCTGAGGCAGGAGAATCACTTGAACCCGGGAGGCAGAGATTGCGCCACTGTACTCCAGCCTGGGTGACAGAGCAAGACTCCGTCTCAAAAAAAAAAAAAAAAAAAAAAAAAAGAACCACTCAGGAGGAATACTTGCTGAAAAAGCCAATACAGATGAGTATTTAATAACAACAGCACTGACATAGAAATCTCACATTCTTCCATATTTAAAGGGGAAGGCTTCATAAATAAATGTCAGTAACAGAAGTTGCTTTATGCTCTCTCCTATCTATATGTAAGAATGCGCTGGGTTCCTTAGCACTTAATGCAGGCAAAAGTCTAAGACTTAAATGGTAAGTACATTTAGCAGGTAAATGTTTAGATAAATGATTACTTGTAGTTTTATTTTTCCAACTCTTTCGGATCAGAAACAAACCAACAAATCAGATCAACTACTGATCAGATGCAATTGCGTAAATTATACTCTACTACTTTTGTGTTGGGATGGTAGAGAATAAACATGAGGTGAATAGGATTCCCACATTAATCCTTTATTGAGGTTAAAATTCCTTGGGGATAATTCCTTTCTACATTACTACAGTATACAACTATAGAAAAAGAACAAGAACACTAACTCTGAACCACAACCAATTCTGGCAAACAAACCATTCACCCCTTTTCAAATAATACTGCATTATCTCCAGTATTAGTAATACTAATAGATATAGAAATATTCAGAAATTCCATGTTTCAAAAGTTGTAGTGGCCATAGAAAAATTATTCCTTCCTTTCACATCATTACAGCTAAAAAGCCAACTAACCTAAGATGGATTTAGTTATCTGAGATGGAATATTGACATGATTAGTCAAGATAGCAAATCTGGAGTCTGAATGACAGACACTACTTGATTTCGGTTTTAATGCCTCAGATCCATTCTATCCTTCCAATTTTCCTACGTTAGCTGACTCTGGGCAAAAGTGAAGAAAGAAGGAGCTAAAGAGAGAGCACTGTCTAGAATATACATTTATTTGTCTTACAAGTTCGCAGGTAAATTAGAGATAGCTTGAATGTACCAAATGAGGTTAAAAAAAAAAAAGAGTACTCACTATATAGAGGGCAATGTCCTAAATTATATTCTTCGATTAGTAATTCAAGAAGATTGGCTTTTTATAATTAATGTGAAAAGACATGTGAAACCATGGAAATTTGGATAATTTTCTTGGCCAATCATCCTCAATACATGGAGATCATGAGGTGTTTAGTGGCAAGTACTTGGGCCCTCTTCATAAACTCTGTGACAGTGGCAAGGGTAAGACAGACCTATTCTTAGGTCCGTGTGAATTAAACTGGTTGTGGTTCTTGTTGAATTCTGAGAAGAAATGAGGAATGCTTCCAGTCACTTTGCAAATAACTCTATCATGATCAAGTTACTCCCATGGGATGGTGCTACAAAATCAATACATAGTTCATGGTTTTCAGCAATTAGCAATTGAATTAATTCTTCTACTCATCAAGAATTCTTGGTGGTGTCATTAACTTTAGTGAGAAATTAAAAGAACACATTGTAGCAACCAAATACTGATACATTACTACTATGATCGTGTTCATCTTGTGCTTCCCACTGACTGTGCAATTCTGCTGCTGCATCCAAAATTAAAACACTGGGTTGCTTTATTCTAGTACAGCCTCATGGAAATCGGCTCTCTTTCAAATCTTTAAAGTAGAATACGGGTCTCACCTGCCACCATCTGACTTTACCGATCTTCTGGAGGATGCATTTCTTATATTCTGCCAAACCCACTAGTAATTACACTATAACTTCTTACTATGGGTTGTATTTAGTTGCTCCTTTAATTTCTGCAACATGAAGAACTGGTCAGGATCTTTCCTTCCACCATGATAAATGACAATATAATTTTGTTAAGAGACAGCATTGGTTGGTTGCATGGTAGACTCCGCATCTGTGGAAATCACTGTACATCTTATCTCAGTTAGTAAGAAGCTAGAGTATGGTAAGATGGTACAGCTCTGCAACACAGCACAAGGATTTCATGGGTCATTTCTTTAAAAACCTGCATAATACCTAATGGTGTAAATGAAAAATACATTTTTGATAATCCATACATTCAACAAATGTCCTAGTCTCAGGCATTTATTTAGATGAGTTAGAAAACCCACAAGTTATTTAGACATAGCATCCTTCTGTTCAGTGTTTTCTATTTCACTTGCTTCAAGAACGGAAAAAAATCCCACTTATTCTCAGAATGAAGAAGCAGGCTGGCTGACACCAACTTCGATATGCTCCAAGCAAACTACTGAAATACAGAATCTGCTCAGGCTTCCGCTTAGTGGTTCCGGTTAACAGTTTATCTGAAGTGCGTGGGTGTGAACTTATAACACTTCCTATTGTTCAGCATGGGGTGTGTGTGCCTCTGTCTCTAATAAGATCACCTCACCCTTTACCAAAAGGTCCTGTATCAGGGCAGAGGGGTGGGGAAGATGTTGGTGAACAGGCTGTCAACACAATTCTTTATTGTGAATAAATCCTATCTCAGATTAGAGCAGTATAAACCAGAAAGTAATGTTCTTCCCTACCTTTCAACTGAGAACACAGAACCACAGCAATTTGGTGTCCTCACCTTGAAGGAGTTAAGCCCCTGCTTTGAGAGATAAACCTTTTCATGTCATACAGCTCGAAAGTTCATTCAAAACGGGGCTAGACTTTCCTAAATCCTTATCCAAAATATTACAGACTATTCATGTGTCATTAGGTCCTAAAAATACAGATAAATGGGCACTTCAGAGGCTATCTGACTTGGATACTCCCGAGCCATGAAGGGAATAAGGATACTTCCAATTCCCGAACTTGAGAGAACAAGACAGCTCCCACGCACCGTTCACAGGGCCATATACCTTTATTCTAAACAAACTAATACACTGTCAAAAACCTGCCGGATTAAGCTTTTCAACTCTCCTCCCTACTGTGGTCTGAGTGTTCCAAGTCTTTTTCTAAACCTCACTCCTAGGCTTGAAGATAGATTAGCTATAAAGGACGATCAGCCAACAGGTAGAAAACAGAAGTGAGTATGATGTGGTCTATGTGAATTATGTCCTCATAAAAGCCCTTAAAGACCAACTTATAAAACGTTACTCACCCAGCCTGCTATCATAGATTCAAACCAGAACTTTTCTTTTATTAATTAAACATACTAAAACTACACAATGTTTTTCGCATGGGTCCTCCTCATAACTCTGTGACAGGTGCGAGGGTAAGACAGACCCTTGCAAGTTGGTTTAATAGTCTGATCACTAATACCCATGAGATCCCTTTTGGGGAGATACCTTCCCACAGAGAACTTGGGGCAAAGAAACTGAAAAGTCTCTGGCAAGGCAAAGGACAAGTTAAGTCAGAGGATACATGGTGATGCACGGACTTCTAGACTTAACTATTTAAGTCAGCACAGCTTTGATTAAAGATAAACTGGAGTTGGCCCAGCGCAATGGCTCACGCTTGTAATCCCAGCACTTCAGGAAGCCAAGGCAGGCAGATTGCTTGAGGTCAGGAGTTCGAGACTAGCCTGGCCAACATGATAAAACCCTGTCTCTACAAAAATGCGTGGTGGTGGGCACCTGTAATCCCTGCTACTTGGGAGGCTGAGTCAGGAGAATTGCTTAAACCTGAGAGGCGGAAGCTGCAGCGATCTGAGATCATGCCACTGCGCCCCAGCCTGGGTGACAGAGCGAGACTCCGTCTCAAAAAAAATAAAAAAAATAAACTGGAGTCATAAAACATTTACATACAGAGGATTCTCCGCATTAAAATGAGACATTTTTAGTCTGGATGACTGCTAAGTGGCCTGAAAGGTGTGGGAATATAATGTGCTTTGGGTTTGACTGAGGCACAACTCTCAGGGTGGCGGCTGGCACAGCTCAGCCTGGGTCCCACTGCACTTGCCACTCCACTCAGGACCGACTCTGGGGAGGTGAATAAAAACTGTGTCTTTGTGGATAAAACAGCCATTAAATAAAAGATGGAACTTTAAGGAAAGCTTCTCAACTTTAGTTAACTTCAGATGTGAAGACATGAATAGTAAATAGGCAGTATGACCAAAAATGTGATTTGGTTGAAAGCAGGAACCACTTCTAACTTTGGGAATCTTGAGGATCTGCGAGGCATCCCCTGTGAAAGTCCATGATGTCCTGAAGTACATCAACTACCATGCTGAAAATCTGGCATTCTCATCAAAACACACCCTTTGCAATAGCTTTAAAGCTCAGGCATACAATTCCAAGGTCTACTGGGCCACGTGAAAACCCACTTGTGGAGGGAAAGGTCTATTCTCCACATTTGGGTATGGCATCGCTAGCCCGGCCTTCCCCCAGGAAGTCCGGATTCATAGCACTCTGCTATCTGTAAGAAAAGAGGTAGGTTCTGAACTTTCCTCAGGCAGAACACCAGACATAAAATGCTGAACAGCCACCAGCTCCATTCTCTCGAATCCTCGCTTTGATGTAAGGTAAGAGGCGGCGGGGAGAACACCAAATAGAGGGATGGTTTATATTTCTCTCACCAGGGCAAATTAATAAAAACAAAACCTAATTTTTCCCTTCTCTCACCCATTCTTATTCCTCCTCAATATTTTTCCTCTTTCTAAGATTCCTTTTTTGTTTGAGAAGCTTAATATTTGGCTGCCTCTGAAGAAATGGGTATAGTGACAGATGAAAGACTTGTATTCATCGTCTAATTCAGAATAAGGGGAAAAATCGACTGCTGTGCATTTTAGATTCTAACAACCTTGCAATTTTGTATAGTCGTTTCCCCCACCCGTTCTTTTGAAGAAATCTGCTTTTATTCTGCTAATAACTAACCACAGTTGCAGCAGCATGGATCCGATTAGCAGTTCTTATGACACAAAGGGGAGAAGAAAAAAAGCTGTGAACAGGGTTGCCAATTTGTCCACCTGGGCCCCCAGGAGAAAGATTAGCTGAGGCGCCTGCCTGCTCCCTTTCTTCCACTTGATCGCTGCTCTGTGCTGCCGGATAGAGACAGGCCTTTTTAAAGCCAAGGCACTTTCCTTTAATCAAAGTTTCACTCGCCTCCACCCTCTCTTGTCACAAATTTCTCATTCTGGGTTCCAACGCTTCGTGACAACTCTGCCTGTAAACATGGGTGGTTGGCTATGAGAAGTGCCACATGCGGATGCTCACTCCCTTGGAGTCATTTTGCACCTAAAAGAGAATATAGCACGTGAGCGCTTGCTGTGCCCTGTAGGTACGAGGGACCGTGTTTTCCAGACCAAAAGGTGGCACACGTGGTCAATCAATGGGCATCTTTATGCTGCGTCTGGATGTCAGAAGAGGGAGGGAAAAATACAGGGTTTGGGAATTAAATATTGGAATTTGAGGGAAATAACACAGAATGTATAAAGTTGAGACCAACAGATAAAACACTGGTACTATAGGTGGCATGGTTTCTATAAATTCTCCATTTAGATATAGAATTAAGTGTCAATTTATGTACTAAAATAATATGCTTTTTCTTACAGAGTTTAAAATTTCATTGCATTTGTGATTATACTAACTAATGACAGCTTGTTTTCATGATAAAACTTAAGATTTTTAAACCCTTGGCATAAAACTCATACTTTTAAAAGTAAAGAACGAGACAGCTAAAACCACTTACTATTCTGAAAAACTTAAAAAACAAACAAACAAAAAACCCCAGGCTCCTGAGTGAAATCTCCAGGATCTAAGGGGGATAAATCAACACTTCACAATGTATATTTGAAGGAAACCAGCACCTGCTTACCTTGCTTCACTATCACAATTCACACCATGACATATTAATACATTTGGGTGTTTAAATAAGTGCTTTTTCAAGAGATATAGAGTTGCACAATGAAACCCGGATTAATCAATAACCAGACTCCTTTTTAACAGTGCTGGGCTTGTGAGGTTGCTGGGGGGAGAGCAGACCTCTCCAGCACGAGGCTAGAACTGGGAGGTCCAGGCGGGTGGCAGTGGGCACCCTCAGGGACCCCGCAGCTCAGGAGTAAACTCTGCCAGAGGCAGTGCCAGCCTGGGCACGGCTAAGCTCTCCATGCTGAGTGCCAGGGGACAAGGAGGGCTGTGCAGGCCACAGAGCCTCTGACTGTGGCAATGTGGAGAGGAAGGTTCTCGAGCACGACCTCAAGTACTCTCCATTACTTCTTTCAGATTGGACTAAATATTCGGCAAGCACACTTGTGAAAGGTATCTGTCACAGTGGAGTCGCTTTCAGGAGGGAGGGGAAAAGAATGATCCCATGGAGGGTGAAATGCAAAGGCAGAAAGATGGCTCCAAGCCCACAGGAGAAAGGTTATAAGTCACCAATTTCAGAACTCTCTCCTTTTGAATTCCCATTTTTCTAAGAGAACTGTGAGTTCTTTAATTTGGCCCATGTTTACTGAATAGCGCTACTTGCCAGGCACTGTTCTTGGCACTGGGGACAAAAAGAAGAAAGAGGCTCTCAGCCCGCCAGGGGCTCAGGCAGCTGGGGCAGCCCTGAGGGAGAGCTGAACTCCGGGGCTGCAGGGGTCAGCAAGGACTTCGTGAAGGGAAAGATCCTTTAGCGGGGTCTTGAAGGGTAAGGAGGAGTTTGCTGGGCTGCATGAAGAGTGGGATGGATGTTCCAGGCAGAAAGGATAAATCACATTATTCTTTAATGCAGCTCTAGGGACAAAGATCTGACGCAAAGTCATGGTCAGTGGTATAGAGACAGGGAATTCTCAACTAGTTCCTCCGTCGGCTTCTAAGAAAAGGCACTGAGGCCACATGAAAAACGAACAAGCAGCAAAAATATATCCACTGAGGCTCGCTTCTCTTAAAATGTGATACTTTTTTTTGCCTTTTTTCAAGTAGAATTAAAATAACATGATTCTTGGATTTCATGTGAAATGAACTTCAGGTAACAATTGTGGAAATGAGGAAGTCTGCTGCTAACTGAACTGGACTTGAGAATACAACAGTATTTTTGCACAAGAATTTTTTCTGTGACATTACTTTCAACTGAACCAAATCTAGTTCTAGAAAGATCAGGGGAAAAAACCTCAGCACTATGCCGCCCTTAACACATGAGCTAATCATCCCTCAACTTTCCTGTGAGAAATGTATGTGCTCCTAACTGGGAAGACAGGCCTCCTTCTCAGGCACGCCCATGGAGCACTGGGGAAGTGCTAAGTTGTCTTGGACACGGGTGCTCTCTTCCATATTCTAGAAACATTTCTTCTTGCATTTCTTTTTCACAGTCTCTACCTTTTTGGGTACCCCAGGGTTTCCTCAGAATTCTTCTCTCAGTGATTCTCAGCCTTGGCTGTGCATAATAACCACCTGGAGAGCTTTAAGAAAGTACTGACGGAATACCCCGTGTCAGACCGATTAGCTCAGCATCTCCAGGGCTGGGCCAGCACCGGTCCTTTCCCAGGCATGTTGTGTGGCGAGTGCTGAGGAGCACTGACCTTCACTCACTCCCTAGGCCAGTACTTCCCAGACCAGCAGCTTCAGCAGAACTAGAAATTATTGGAAATGCAAACTCTCGGGCTCCACCCCACAACTACTGAATCACAAGCCCTCCAAGTGATGCTGAGGCAGGCTGGGTGCCCAGGGGACCTCATCCTGAACCCTAAAGCCTCACACACTCATTTTTCCCACCAAAATACTGCCTGAGTCCAGATCTTATCCAACCTCCTATTCAAAACCTCCCTTAGGATGCCCAGTAGGAACCTCAAATACAGTATGTTTAAAACCAAACTCTCGATTCCCCTTCAAAAACGTGTTCCTCTGTCTTCTGTACAGAACCATCATTTACCAATTCCTTCGGCCAAACTCCTTCTGCCACTACTCCCGCTATGTGCACATCCAAGCGGCCATCAACACTCCGCGTGGTTACTGCAGGAGCCTCCGATGTCTCTGCTCCCACCTTCCCCTACAGTATACTGTCCACTTAGCAGCCACAGTGAGCCTCCTAAAACCTAAACAGGATTATGCTATTTCCTGCCTTCCCAACCTTCCAGAGGGATCACATCACACTTAAACTCCTAAATCGGCCAGGCGCGGTGGCTCACGCCTGTAATCCTAGCACTTTGGGAGGCCAACATGGGCAGATTTCGAGAGGTCAGGAGTTCGAGACCAGCCTGGCCAACATGGCGAAACCCCATCTCTACTAAAAATATAAAAATTAGCCAAGCGTGGTGACATGTGCCTATAGTCCCAGCTACTCGGGAGGCTGAGGTAGGAGAATTGCTTGAACCTGGGAGGTAGAGGTTGTAGTGAGTGGAGATCGTGCCACTGTACTCTAGCCTGGAAGACAGAGTGAGACTCCTTCTCAAAAAGAAGTAATAAAAAAACCTCCTAAATCATAATCATAACCTACAAAGTCGTTAGCTCCTCTCTCACCTAACTGCCCACACATTCTGCTCCATTGCCCGTGACCACTATGCTGTGGCTACACTGATTTCCTGGTGTTCGCCGCCCAACACACTAAGCACAATACTAACTCAGGGCCTTTGAGTTTGCTCCGTTCTCTGCCTGGATCTCCTTTCCCAGATGCTCACATGGCTTGCCCCTGCCCTTCTTTCACTTCTCTTGTTCAAATATCAGCTTCTAAGAGAGACACCTGCCCTAACTAGCCACTGCTATCTAAAGAAGTAACCTGATTTTTTTCCTTGACTACCTGACAATAAAGTATGTAGTTATTTATGTATTTCCTGTCTTTCCCACTAGACTTTAAGTTTCACGAGGACAGGACCCTTTGCAGTTTATGTTCAGCGCCTTTACCCCACTTACTACGCCTGCAGCATAATACACACTCAGTGCTTTGCTGAATTAATGACAGAATAGAATGATAAAATAAGGCAGGAAGGAAACGGAACAATTAGGATAGTTGGCTTTCCACAGGATATCTCCTGGTATATCCAACACTCAAAGTGCAACATGCTACTTTTCTAAAACCATCAAATGAAGTAATATATTTGGCATCCTCAGCAAGGTCACACTCTTGGCATTCAGCTTTATGTATTTAATGCAGTTTGCAAGTACAAACTCCCATGTCACTTTCTGTTTGGAAGGGAGAATATCAACATTAACAATTCCTAGTTATATCATTTATAAACATGCAGATGTGGATTATGAAAGATTAATGCATTTTAGGATTAGTGAAGGCATTCCGTTTGTCTCATGCCGAAACCAATTCTGTTCTTCATTAGTCAATGACAACCCATATCACCCTGTTATGGAAGAGAAATCAAAGATGCAAGTGTGTGAATTGAGAATAAGTGATGAAACTGATTAGTAAGAGTCTTAACGGCTATAATCAATCAACACATCATAATAATCCTGGCTCCAGGGTTATCAGAAGACTGGGAAATAAACCTAACACTCTCTATAAAATGGTTTTGTTCCTTCCACAATTGTTACTTATTCTCTTTTAGGAAACATGGTGATATACCAGAAGTTTGTGAAATCAACTTTAGGAGCATCTTGACTCTAAGTACTATTCATTTACCCACCATTTTCCAAAATGTACTCAAGTGATTTTTGAAACTTTTTACTTCTAGGCTAAAATTAGTTCATAAAAGCTTTTGTACCCCTCCATTCTGAATCTTCATTCTCAGCGAAGGGAGAAGGCAGCGGGTCAATGCCAACAGCATTTCCACAGAGGCAGCACACGCAGAATCCAGACGCAGTGACACTCAGCTGAGCAGAGGTTCAGAGCAGGGACAGCCTACTCAGCTCAAGAGTGAAAACAAACAGAACGAGGTGTCTGAAGTGCTTCTCCAGAGAACAATGCAAAAAAATAATGGAGAAGTGGGAGTGGACCATTAGACCCACCATGAAAACACATGAGTCACTGCTGAGATTGCAGAGCAAGAAAAAGGCACATAATATTGCCTTGGTGACACAGGCTTTCTTGTATTTTCATACACAGAAGAATAGAGAAAGGGAACGGAAATTGACAGGATAATTTAAACTGAGTTGCCCAACTTTTTTTAATTAAGAGAGGAGCAAAACCAAGTGGGAATTTGTATTTTGATAAATTTCTATTGTTTTCTTATTTCTAAATGTGGGAGAAAGAAGAGGAGAAAAGGCTTAATTTGAAGTTTGCTGGAATGAAAGATTGAAAAGATTTGTGCTTTTGAAGAAAAGAATACTCATTCCCCACCCATCAGAATACCTGACTTGGGGTGTGGAGTGACCTCTGAAGGAGAAGAGTAGCTCAGAACACTGAGGCAGTTCTTCAAACGCAAAGGCCTTGGCCACCAGACAGCAATGGGGAATCTGTCCTCTAGAAACAGCGCTGAGAATATTCATGACCCATGGACTTGCTGAGTTTCCATAACCAGGATCTTGGCCTGAATTTTAAAGCTGTTATCTTAAAGTGGGAGGTTCTACATCACGCTACCAATAACTAAGCCATACAGAGATGCAACCCCGTCTCTCAAAAAGACAAAATATACAATTTGCTTTCTTAACTATTGCTAAGCAGCATTTGGAAGGGAATGGAAATAGTTTTGTATAACATCCAAATATTTTACTTTGTCAGGGAAAAAAATACTGGCTTAAGTTCTCTTTGGTTTGTAGAACTGCTGAATTGGTTTTCTGTGCTGCCACAGATTAAAAACATGGATATATCAATGGCATTTTGTGTTAATTTTTTTTTTCCTCCTCGGCTTGCCAATAAGCAGCATGCATCTTCCTTGCAACAAGCTGTTGCAGGATTTCCACCTCCAGTGAAGCCAAAAAGGAACATTCGATAGATATTTAAAAATAAGATTATTAGGTAAGATGATTATGCAGACTTTCAAATAAAAAATTTCTGTCAGTACAAGAAATGCCATTTTAGAGGGTCTACTGCTAATGTCATCACGAAACGACACTGGCTAAGAACCATTTACATATAGAAATAAACTCATGCTTTTTACCCTGAGTTTTATTAAGGCCAAATTAAAAAGTAGAAAGTTTATTTACTTAGGATGGGCTTGAGCCCTAAGAGACCTAAAACTCCAGGAGAAATGGGTTAAATGAAAGAGAGACATTGGTTTGCATCCTCCATTGTTCATCTGATAGGTACTAATCTTGACAAATTAGACCAGGAGCTATCATTTCCTCTCACTGGAATCCTTCCTGTTCACTCTGGACTATGACTAACTCCTAACTGAGATTCATCTTTCTCTTTCCCATTATAGCATCCTTCCAGATTCTGCTTGTTTGAATGTCAAATTAAGCAAGAAAATTAGTTTTTTGACCAGAATATCTTCTTGTTTGTATCTGCAGCTATATCGGCTGGTAGAGAAATCTACTTAGCTCTCACTTGCTGAAGGGTGGGACTGGGTGAGCACTCACACAGAAGAGCTCTAAATACACCCCAGTGCTGCCAAACAGTTCTTTTCCATATTTAATCCAATACGTGCCACCCTTTCTAGAACTCATGCTTTTTGTCTGAGATTTTCCTGAGGGGCACAGATTCATTATGGCTGGTTGGTATGCTGGATGCATCTCTCGCCCTCTAGGAATGGCCATGATAAAGCTGCAGAGAATTAGGCTCCACTATAAAGGAATTGGTGCTTTGTGGCGTAGGAGGACGAGCTCTGACCAAGCGATTTCTTCAGGCTCGTCACACCTGTGATCCTTTTCAAAGGACAGAGACTGAAGTTATTCACTGGGTATGAGTTCACATTAGCAGGTGCCACATGCTGTGCACTGTGGAGGGGCTCCTGGAAGAGGCTACCCCAGGCGGGAGGCGGCTACCCCAGGCAGGAGGCACACGTGCAGAGGTGATCACTGGAGTAGGGTGAAGCGCAGCTGGCTGGAGAGGGAGAAGGGGAGGGGAGGTATCAGTAGAAAAAGATGGGAGCAGTGAAGGTGGCTCCTGGAATGTGAGTGAGATTCCTCCTGACCTGTGCCTCCCGGCTTCACAGTCTCAGCTCTGAAGGCACCCTGACCCATCCCTCATGCCCAGCCAGCCAGCAGGTAGTCTGCCGAGAGGCCAGGTGGCAGGTGAGCGCCTCAAACAGCGAAGCACGAAATGTGAAAAGAAAAAGGGTTCTACTTTCATATTTGATGCAACTCTATTTTGTTTCTGTCTATGATAGCTAAGATGATGTTGCCTTTGATTAGTCTTACCTAATACCAAGCAAGAAGAACAATAGCCATGAAACAAACAGCTACTCATTATGTGCTAGCGTGAAGACCTAATTTTGTGTTTTTGACCCTAATCTATTATAATCAGTGGCCTTCTGCTGCCAGATCAAAGTGAGTTAACTCTACTTACACTGGACTTAGTACAAATACCAAATGCCTAATGCCTAAAAAAGAATGCGGAAAAATCTATTCAGGAATTTTCAGTTACTATCCTTAGATCTTCATTAATAAAACAGATGAGCTTAGTTTTATAAACAAAAGTAGCCAGGCTATGAACAGTTAACACCTGCCTGTCCATTCCTCACCCCCACGGTGAGCTCCCTCCTCTCAATATTTAAACACTGCCGCTGCTTACAGCACATGGAGGAAAAGCTGACAAAAGCCTCTGGCCAATAAAATAAAAAATTTTTAAGTTTGGCTTATTTACATTTTTGCTTTGTTAGTAAACTGGAATGGCTGGCTCTGGAGGCAAGACAAGTGAAATTAACATCCGCAGAATCTTCTGGCAACAGCGGTGCATTCAGATGCCGTGCTGAGTCAGCTTCCACCATGCATTAGGGGCAATCAGGCCCAGCGTAAGACCCAAGACCTGTTCAATACACATCCAAAACCCAGCAGCCCTCCTAACGCCAAAGTGAAAAACGCTAGGATATAACCCAAGAAGCAGTGTAAGTGCAACGTGATGGGATCATTTACTAGAATATCAGCATCATGTCTAATATCACACATTTCAGAATTAACTGTACCTGACATTACATCTACTTAATTTAAATGTATAGTATATGAATACACACTGCCAATTACAAAGATGGAGCTATTTCATTTCTGTCTCTAAATATAAATACATCAGTATGAAGAGGAGAGAGAATAGGTAAAAAACAAGAAAATTTGTGATGGCACTGGAGGGAGAGTACAGCGTTTGTGTTTCTGTTCTCAAATGCTTGTTTAGAGTCAACAAGCAGGCCTGAATTCTTTACCTTCTAACTATAGAGAGCTGCAAAGCTGGAGCCCAGGAATGTGCAAACAAAGGGAGAGAATCCATGTGGCTACCTAACATAAAAAATCTCCATTCTGCTTCTCCAAAGAATGCAGGAGGAAAAGCCCAGCTGAGTTAGGGATGTGGCGGGGCAGTGTTGTACCAGTGTATCACAGTAGTGGTTCCCATGACACTCACAATGTTTGTGATGCAGCAAGATAGGAGGGCAAATCTGCAGTGGGTGGAGGAACAGTTTAACAGGCAAGAAACAGAATCAGCCATTTGGGATGCTTTACTGGGCTTCGTTTATCTACCTCTGTGATACTTCTCATTAGCTGTCAATTACATTTACCAGGGTAGAGATGGAGAAAAATGATTGTTTTTTTTCAACAAATCCTAGGAAAGCAACATCAGGAAGAATCCCCTGCAACATTTGGCTTTACTTCATCCCAGCTATCAGCTACATAACAGCTGCACATTTTACAATGACTTGTTGGAGAGACAATGATTGAAAGAGCCAGTCTGTGAGACATGGAGAGGAGGTGATGAGATATGGCAGGAAGCAACAGGAGAGAAGAGAGGCCAAACACAAGTTGGTGCTGGGAGTAAGAGGAAGGAAGGGGACAGAAAGAAAACAAAAGACTACATATAGAAAAATAAAGGGAAATTCCTAACAGATAGCTCGACAGTTTGAGTATCACGCCTGGGAGAGCATGTCGTCTCTACATGGCATGTATGGTTCACTGGCAGACTCAGAACCAAATGAAGGTGGACTGCATATGAACTTGGGATCTGATGTATAGATACACACCATTTAAATATAAGGATTAGAGATGGGAAAAGGAGGAGGGAGATGGGCCTCATTATTCTCTAAAGGAAGGTGTATTTGCATTTAGGTGAAAGTAAATATAAAACAAAAAGCAAAGACCAACTTTATGATCATCTCCAAAATGTGGTTTTATTACCTATGACCAAGATCACACAAATATATAACATAATGCACGCTGGATAACTTAATATATTTAATACTTCTCAGAGAATAAGGATATGAATCTTAGGGAAATGATTTAAAAACTTCGAAAGGACAGGGTGCCTAGGTGGAGGGAAATGGAAATAGAAGACAATCATTTTTTTTCCCCAACAAAAACCTGTCATGAGCTTTGAGTAAATTCCATTAAAATAGCTGCATATAAAATGTTGGATGAACTGTTATCAAAAACTGACATTTGAGTGGCCCTCGGCTTAGCTGTGGGAACAAAGAGAAATGGGTAATACCTGGACTCAAGCCATGGACTACTCCCCCAAGGTCTAGGACAAGGTTACTGAGGGTAACCTGGCTCCTCTGTATGAATGAGAAAATGGTGCCCCTTCCCACAAGAGGGCAGGTAGATGTCAACTCCCATTCACCACTCAGACCCTGTGCAATGAGCACCTGTTGAAGTGTTTACAGCAGCCCTGGCAGTGACCACTGGGCAGGAAGTGCTGCTCACAGTTAGCTGATGTGGCCTCCACACAGGCAAAAAGAGGGAAAATAATCCAGGATTTTATACTGCATCTATTGTTAACTTTTCTGTGTGGCAGGCAGGCGGTCTAGCATAAATGTTTGCCTATGATCTGAGAGAAGCAGGGGCTAAGTGTTCAGCTAAAATTTTCATGTGTAGAGACAACAGTAGAAATTCTGTTAATCTCTGGGGTACAGTCATTCTCTCTCGTTTTCCGGTCTTCCTCTTAACCTTCTCAGGCTCAAACTCCAAGAGGAACGTGGACTTTTTTTTTTTTTCTAGAAGAAAACTGAGCTCAACTCTGTGAAAATATATTATGCTTTCATGGCTAGCTCTAGCAGTCCTACCGAACTACCTCAGCAAACACACCAAGTCATTACTGGGAACAACATACATGTCTTCTGAATTGCACAAAAACACCACTGGATTAAGAACCAGAAGACTTGCTGCCTAAATCAACTGTACAACTCTGAACAGTAATTGTCACAGACAGTCTCAGTTTGAATAATATCCATAATGGTGAACGTAACATCGTAAGAATCAACAAGCACTGAGTGCTCCGCATGTACCTGTCTCACGTGCAGTGACACATTTAATCTTTGCATTTCCCCTATAAGGTGGGGTTATCATCTTTACAGATGCAGAAACTGAGGCACAGAGAGGCTTAGAAGCTTCTTCAAGGTTATATGGCTAGTATCAGATAATTATGAAAGTCCATCAAGTTCAAATGTTTGTAATTCCACTTGGGAGAAAGGTGAATAAATGCCAAAATTGTTTATCAGATTTTTTAAGAGGTTACTCCATGGCGAATATACTAAGAAATGTTCTATTTGTCATATTTATATAATCTAACCCCATGTAGCTTTGCATTTAGCAAAGACAGTTAAGAATTTACTTGAAGAATATGCCACCAAAAAAAAGGTGGAGCTTTTGCTGCCTAATTTCCTCCCGGTACTAAATTTCATTGAATAGCTTTACCAAGCACCATATAGAGGTCGGCTACAGAGGAGCTGACTTGGAATAGTACAGTGAAGCAATATGGTGGTAAGTGTTTCTGACACAAGTTTAAAAAACAAACTATACACTTTAAATAACGTGTCCAAGAAAGTGGAAAGCTTTCTAGGAGTTAGCAGGGAGAAATGATAGTGAGATCCTTGTGCTCTCCGTCCGCACGCATCTGCAGTCACTGCGAAGAATGGGCATCCTTTGTGATGGTGTATAACCCACTCACCAGCTTTTACCCTGTGCAAACCAACTGAACCACAGACTCTGAGGCCAGTTAAATTTGCTGAGCTACTTCCTCTGTAAAATACTATATAATGTAACACCTGATACCCAGGATCACATGCCCGAAGTGAGCTTTTCTGTTGGGTTTTATCTTCTGTATTGCATCAAATCCAAACAATGAATATACAAGTTTAGAAATCCCCATTTGGAAGGACAGACATGTGGAAAGTCTTCAGATGGTTAACTACTCATGTCAGGAATTTAAAATTTAAAAGCATTATATCTTTATACCTCAAGAAAGTTTTCATTTAGGTTTTTAGAAAAAGTCCTTTTGACTCAATTTAGAATGAAAGAGTAAGCTCTTTGAGTAACGCAATATTTTACATATAACTTTCCAACATTTAGGTAGGTGACATCTCACAAACCATCTCAACACCAAAAACTGTCTTAAAAACTCTAGACTACAGAGTATTCATAGCATTAAAAAGTTAAAAGCAGCAGATAAGTCCAGGTTATTACAAACACTATGAGGACAAACATATATCTTTGAAAGAAAGATAACATCGAAATGCTTTAATCAAAATGCACTGAGCGTATACCTATATCAAATTACAGATGAATCTTAGAAATGTAACGTTTAGTTAAAAAAAGCAAATTTTAGCCTACACTACAAGTGGGTTGACCATATTATCTGACCTGCCCAAGACCTTCTGGCTTATGCCGCTATCCTACTGTAATTGTTAATAGTAGCCCTTTGCATGCACAAAAGTGTCTCATATTGGATGATAAATTATAGTCATTCCAAATATAATACATTTCCATAAAGCTAAGAACTTAATAAAACAATATATACTCTATGAATGTTTGTAATAAAATTCTTAGAAAAAAACCCAAAAACCAAAAGAACAATATTTTAAAAAAGATTAAAAGGATATTTGAAGTGAGGAAGAGGTATAGAGCTTGGGATAAGGAAGAAATATACAGGTAGATACAATGGCATTATGATACTCTAATTCTTAAACCGGATGGTGAATTCATGAATGTTTATTTGATAGTTGATGTTTCATAATTAGTGTGCTATGTATGTTCTTTTATTTAGAGATATATATGTGTAATATTCTAAACATTCCACAATACACTTTTTTTTTTTAATATAAAAGAGGTGAAACGTTAAAAAGCACCAAAACTAACGCCCATGATTTTGGAAGGATAGAATGAATTATCTGGTTTGGTGATAAAGGAAAGCTAGTTGTACGGTAGACTTGAATGGATGAAGTCTGATATAAGAAAGCTGGATGAGGATGAAGTAACTGACAAATAAATAACCAAATAAATAACCTCGAGAACATAATAAAGGGAGAAGATAGAGGCGATGCATGACAAGTGAAATAAATGAACACAGAGTTAACCAGAACATGGGCTCCTTGTGTCCAAGAGAAGGCACGAGTTTGTATCAGTAAGAACGCCTCGACCATGCTCCACCTTGACCAGTGCCTGCATGTGATCAGACACTGATAAGTATAGACTGTAGAAATGTTTTAGAAAATAAATGCTGTGGCAAGTATTGAATAGAACCACAAAAAAATAAGGCCAATCCTCATCAACAATCTCACTTTAGTGGCACTCATCAACAGAAGCTCTGATGTAACAGAATCATTACAAAACATATGCTAAGAGGATAAATAATACCCTGTTTCTGGCATAAGTTAAGGTAAATATGCAAATTGAAATTATCAAAGTAATTGGTCATTTTATTAAAGGGGTAGTTATAATCACCTGTTGAATATCTTTAGGAACTGGGACTCTCGTATGCCTTGGTGAGAATTCAGTTATACTCTTAATATGTGGCCACTAGGTTTTAAATAGTAAAGTAATGTGAGTTACTGTTGATGAACATGAAATCTCTCTTTATCACAAAGTAAAATAATAATTGTCAGGAAAGTAAATACCTGGGATACTTGCAGGAGAGATTGGGCCAGATCGAGACTGGTTGCTTCCTACAGGAGAGCCAACAGGAGAGGGAGATGGGCCCCCCGGGATGCTGGAGAGATGAGGGGACGCATGTGGGGAGAAAGGCGACTGCGCCGGGTTGCTCTGATCCCCTTGGCTGCTCGTGGACCCGGATGCACTGACTGCTGAGCTCAAAGTTGCTTCCGTTCCCGTGGGGAGGTCATCAATGGAGCCAGACAGATCCTAAGAAAGGAAAAGATGTATTTATAGAGTGACACGTTTGGATGAATATCTCATCAAAAGACGACTTGAAAATCATAATGACGTCCCCTTCAGAGATGAAGGTTTTCTGGGTAACACCCAAAATAAAAAAGCATGGCCACTTTTTATTAGATTTTAATGAGGTCATTTGTAAGTTGAACCAATAAGATCTTGCCTCTCTCCTAAAAAATGAGTAAAGTTGTACTTCTCTTTGATAAAACCATCCCCATACAGTTTGCCCTTCAGCTGTCAGCACCGAGTCCATTAGACCTGTTCAAAATGCCACACAACACAGACAGCACTCTGCCTGGTGACTTACCATAGGAATGGAATGCTGGTTCTTAAATGATTACTTCATAAAGTAAAAAACTACAGGCTTTGAGTCCTTTTTTTCAGAATTTGACACTGGTGGACTACGTGAATTTCAAACTAGGATATTGTAATGTAATAGCAGTCACAATTTTGACCAAACTTTGTGATGAGAAAGTTTTTTTTTTTTTGGGGGGGAGGTGATGAAGTCTCACTCTTGTCGCCCAGGCTGGAGTGTAATGGCGCGATCTTGGCTCACTGCAAGCTCTGCATCCTGGGTTCAAGCGATTCTCCTGCCTCAGCCTCCCTAGTAGCTGGGATTACAGGCACCTGCCACCACACCTGGCTAATTTTTGTATTTTTAATAGAGACGGGGTTTCACCATGTTGGCCAGGCTGGTCTCGAACTCCTGACCTCAGGCAATCTGCCTGCCGCAGCCTCCCAAAGTGCTGGGATTACTGGCATGAGCCACTGTGCCTGGCCGAGAAATTCTTACAATAAAGTGCCATTAAAAGAAAATAATAATGTGTGTATTTATATATGATATTGTGAAAATAAATGTCTTTGAAGTTATGTTGGCAGAAATGGGTCCTAATGTTATATCTTACTTTTTAATACCAGTTTTTCACCGTCAATGCCATCTATATTTTATCACCATACTCTCTGAGGCAGTGATTAAAAACCCCATTGATACAGATACAAAACAATGGAAGCTCAGAGAGTCCAAGTTACTGTTGAAGGTTACGTTACTGAGGACAGACTGTAGGTGCTAAAGACGAAAAGGGGAAGATGAGAGAGGAGGAAGAAGAAACTGTCTTCTGCTCCCTCAGCAGAAGAGGACGCAGACAAAGCCTTTACTTCAGCCTGCATCACTGGTGTGCCCCCCATGGCTCCCATGGAGGCCCCCATCAGCAGGTGCTCAGTGCATCCCCGTTGCAATGACTGGACTCCCAGATCACTGACCGAGCAATGTGCCAACGAGTTCTCAAGGCTGAGTTACAGCATAAAAGATACTTGTCCTGATAACTGAAGACTACATACTATAGAATGGAGTCAGAAATATCTGGTTATGCTACTGTTTACAAAGCATATTCAATCCTAATAGATCTCCACCCTCTAAATTTTATCAATGTTAAATTTTACCTCACTGCTTGCAACTGGGACTTCTGAGAATAGGGCTTTAGAATCTGGCAGAGGAAAATGCTAAGATTCTAAGAGTAAACCTAGACCAGAAAGTACAAAAAAAAGCAAGGGAAATCAGAGCTGGTTATAGCTCTTCAGGGTTTCCTGAAACGTCACAAAGCAAACTCAGGATTAGGATCCTAGTACCCTGGATAGTTTAGTTTATCTGGTAAGCATCTGTTATAGCATATAATTAACTTCTCTTTAAAAATCATATTCTAAAGTATACCTGACAGAACCTAATCAAAAAGAGAAATGCTATAGAAAAACAAAATGTCTTCTGCTAAGAAGAATATCTTTCTAAGTAAAACAGAAAACGTCTTCATTCCACAAAATCTTCAATGTCCAATGACTGTGCTTATGGGAAACAACAGAACAGCAACAGAGCAGACTGCAAACAGCACCCCTAGAAAAAGTTCATCAAATCTCCAAAACAGAAGCCTGGAGTGATGGCACAGCCTGTGGTCCCAGCTACTCGGGAAGCTGAGGCAGGAGGAGTGCTTGAGCCCAGGAGTTCAAGGCTACAGTGAGCTACAAGTGTACCTGTGAGCAGCCACTGCACTCCAGCCTAGGTGACACGGTGAGATGCAGTTCCAGAAAAAATCCAAAATAAAATTAAGTAAATTCAATCCGATTGTTAGAATTCAAAGGTATATAAACATTTATGCTAATCCTTATGATTAGCAGAAATGTAAGGGCACGTGAGATGCATGGTTTTGTACATATTCAGCTGGTGAAACTTTATATTTAACTTGATTACTGGACTCAACAACAGAAGTCTTGACAGAGACCACAGGGGCTGCAAAGTTGAAAATATTTACTCTCTGGCCCTTAACGGAAAAAGCTTGCTGACCCCTGATTTAAAGAACCACGTGTACTCACACCATCCCTACTGCCTTTGCCTATTCCTTGGGGGAAAAACAGGAATTAGGACAGGCCTCAGCTGAAATGCACCATAACTTTACCATACATCATGACTGGTACAAGCTTTAACAGGAACAGGAACTTACTCCGTTACTACATCCCCCTGAAAAATACTGAGTGACAACTCCATATAATCTTACTCTTTTTGAAGGGATCATAAAAACCCAGGATGGGTGATAGCCTCCATATCCAGGCCCTGACAGTACCCACCACACGGCAATGACCAATAAACAAGCGGCAGTCAGAGAACAGCCATCAGGCAGGAAATAGGCTTTTCATGTTTCTCTAAAGAAAAAAAAACCTGGTAGATAACAAGATATAAAATCCCATACTATATATGAAGTTAAACGTAGAAAGGACAAATCAGATTTAATTTTTGAAAAATCATCTATTGTAGTTAAATAATTTTATGCAAATCTCTCATCATAAAATCTGAAATTTTACTTTGAAGTTCTTGTAATTCTCTGCACAGCCTACAAGTTTCATCCCCATTCTCCCTTAAAATTCCATATTATGGTTTAAAAAGTGACACGGATGGGCATTAAGAGGGCTTTACTCAGGTTGCAAAGGCATCAAAAACATTTCTGTTATTCAACAAGCTGATCAAGGAAGTATCAAGAGAAAAATATAAAAACAGTGGCTTTCTTCGTGTTCATGTGTCATCAGAATTTCAGTGCTGACTAGACCTCAGTGTAACAGAAGAGTAATAAAAAGATATAATTATTATATTACTGTTACACACTCACGCGACTTTTATATGTAAATTATACAGAAATATTCCCGCCCTGCAGATTGTTAGGGTATCTGTATGTAGAGCTATCTTAAAACATGCTAATAAAAGAAGTTCAACAGTGGTTTAAGTATTCAGCCTAGTTAACAAAGAAGCTCTGTAACTAATACTCCTCTAGAGGACAATTTAGTCAGCAGGGCACCAACTCTATTCTTCTTTTATAAGTACTATCAGATCTATGATGCCTGTAAAGAACAGAGAGACCTTACTGCATCTCATTCTACCCAAGGCACCTTCAAGCTACAGTGCTTCCATTTATCTTGCTGGAAAGCTGGCAGGTGAGGTAATTGCAGGCAGTCTCTTTTAAGGGGCTAGGAGAGTCCTCCTGCCCCATGGCATTCCATAAATCAGTCCTCTTTTTGTGATGGGGTGATTGGCAAGGCAATGACTTCATGGGCTCTCAAGCATAGTAAAATCACTATTTTGCTATCATCATGTGATTTGGTGAAATCTTGCTATTAAGTTGGGTTTTCAGTAACTGACATCACTCGGAATACTGATTACTTTCTGGCACACCAAAAATAACTTAACTTCTACTATCGATGATTAATTTTTTAAAATCCCTGCCTTCAAAAACCAAAATCATGAAGCTGTTTAGCTTTAAAACTTAATTTAAATGACAGTTCCCTGCAATGACTCTCCCTCTGTAACCATCATCCTTCCACTGTCTCTCTGCCCATGTAAAATTTTCATTCTAACCCTAGTGACAAGTACAAGAGATTTCACTGTGCTTAGAATGAAATGCCACCCAAAGCAATAACAATCTTATCAGACTTTGACAAGAGAAACATTCACAAATTAACATGCAGCATGAATATGTTCAGATTCTCTATGTTGGGGCAGGCTCAGGGAGGGCAGCGTCAGAAGGAATAAAGATGGGACATCCCACAAAGAAGATGCATGGGAAGGATTTTTTAAAATCTGCAGATAATTGAAATAGATATTAAGTATAAAGACTCTCTCATGCCTACAGATTGTACATGATCCTTCCTAAAAATATTTTACATTACTACATGACGACTTGCTACACATCAAAAGACATATTTGGTTTTGATGGTATTCAATTTAGCGTAAGTTAGCTCACCAAAGGATAAATTCAGTCAATACTGGTGGCTTTACTTTCTCAGAGAACTGGGAATAAGTCAGAAAATTTTACTCCCTTGCTTAATTAAATAAGTGGGTTTTTTAAAAAGCAAATGAAAATACTCTAAGCTATGGTTCTCAATACAATTAGCTGATGGTATTAGATCAGCCGCTCATAGAAAGCTGCCAAGCACTGCACACATTTGGGCATCTCTTGCTCAGAAGTGCCCCAGGAGAGCATGAGGATAAACACTGAATCAGAAATAGAGAAGATATTTCAATCAATGAGACCAGTTCAGGTCTCTTGTTTAAGGATTTTAATAGGATACAGTTAATGATTTCTCACTGTGACTTCCCATGGGTTTAAAGCACAGGTTAAAACGCCAGTTCAGTGGTCTTCAAAAAAAGTCTCTTAATTATCTTAAAAAGCAGAAGTAGTGTCTCTTCTCCTTTTTAGAATATTAAAATGAAATAAAACCGTGTACTTTTTCTTTTTCTTTTTCTCTCTTCAACTACACCCTCACCTTCTTAAGGGTAGTGACTTCTTGTGCCAAGTGCGGTGCTAAAGACAAAATGGATATGATTGTTCATCGGTAAATATCACTAAATTTATAAGCTCTACAGAAAAATACAGCTGCAAACACTATAGAAAGTAATCCAGCACATGCAAATATTTCTAAATATTTACCATAAATGCTCTACTGAAAACTATTGACTTAGCTATTAAAACTTAGCAATGAATTATCAGCCCTCTGTTTCTAATTAACATCCTGGATGTCAAGTATCCAGTGTCATTAGATTCTTGGTTCTTTAGAAACACACTGTAAAATTACTTCACATCTTCCACCCTTATTTCACAACTATCATTTTTGGTCACGTGATATGAATACACCTTGAAATTGATATGAGAATTGAGTCAATAAATTGACAGACACATACACACAAAAGGAAAATTCTCACAGTGACTGTTT
Source organism: Homo sapiens (assembly GCF_000001405.40). Classification (NCBI taxonomy): domain Eukaryota; kingdom Metazoa; phylum Chordata; class Mammalia; order Primates; family Hominidae; genus Homo; species Homo sapiens. Next base: position 157,079,384 of record NC_000006.12, on the reverse strand, counting down.
AATTTCCATGATGTTTAAAGGCTTTTTCTTGCATTAACCTGTGTTGTAATAGTGTTTATGTCCAGATACCTACCAAAGTCCCTGCTGCTTTCATTTGTCTAGACAGCAAATGAGTTAAAAGCTCAGACTTCCTATCTTAGACCACATTAAAAAATAAAGCAAAGGCACCAGAAAAACAGAATCCCTGGAAAAAAAATCTGCCAAGCACTAATTGTTAGGCCTTAAGAGCATCCTCTTTCCAAGTTATACATGTGTCGCTTTTTATTTAATCATGTCCAAATATGTATTTATTTTCTCATTATGTGACAGTATGTACAGTACACACCCTTAAGATGTACGAGGTCAGCTGGAAAAAAAGGTTGATGTTAATTTAAAATTAGTTCTAAGCTCCAAAAATCCGTATCAAAAGCCAGAGATAACACAAGAAAAACTAATGAGCCAAAATTCACTTTAAGAGGGGTGGCCAAGAACTACTTTTGGGTGACATGACTTTCACCTGATACGTTTGTGTTATTTCTCAGGCAAAGATTCCATTATGGGTAACTCTCATTTTAAGGGGGACATTTGTAGGATAATCAGCTAAATTGACACTTTACAAAAGCAAAATTCTGAGTTAGGCATACCATTTTAGATAAATATCATTGTAATGGTTACATTTTCTTTGGTATTTAAAAATCAGCATCTAAAATAAAAGCTGTTCTCAAAGGTCCTTGGGTTAAAACTCCTGATATGGAACATGTTGCCATCCTAAACTTAGAAGTGGTAAACAATGCAAGTATGAAATATGCATCATAAAAGGGATCTTTCTTCCCCACTGCACAAGCCTCAAGGGGTTCCTAAAATAGTCTCAGTTTTCAAGCTCTTTTGAAGAGATTCTCCACTCTTCAACTATTAACAGTCTCAGGAGTTACGTAGACTAGAAAGAACAACAAATAGACCTCTCAACATAGTATGGGCAGTAGAACTCAAAAATAATTTGGTACGAAAATGTATTTATAAGCTTTTTTTGGGTATATAGAATCTGGGATTTACCTTCATCTGGAAGTAACGTTTCCCTTCTTGGTTAGACTCCCAGGACCAGCCTCAGAAATGCTCATGATTATGGCCACGAGAATGCTGACTTTAGCAACAACTGATACCACCACTGATCAAGGGCCGTCTAAGTGCTCCAGATACTATGCATATTTTCTTACGTGAGAAAATAACAGCATCTTGTTAGCGGCATTTCATTGTTCCTACCAGTTAAAATGCTTTTTATCTGATTTTATCATACTTAAGTCCAACGAACTTAAGACTCTTCCTACCCACAAGTCAAGCCCCATGTCAGTGCTAAAACACGAAAAAGACTCGTGTGCGTAACTGCTGGCCCTTTATTATTCCAGGAACAATGATGTTTTGAAAACAAATTATAGTGTACTGATGAAATTAAAGCTTTATAAAAAAGTGAGATACTGAATAATGTGAGGAAAGGTATTTTTGTACTAGAGTCACCCTTAAGCAAGCCCTATCTAAGTTTTGTAGTTGGTGCTGTGGGATGGGTGAGAGGAGGTGGAGAAAAAGGGAGAAGGCAGTGTTGACGTGTGGATGACATTTTATATTCATATGTGGACTTGTACACTTGAATGTCCTTCTATCATTGAGTCTCAATGAAGAGAGACAAACCACACAAACAACAATGAAGTGCAGAAAATTCTATGATGGAGGGTGAATTAGTAAGTGCTAAGAGGACAGACTGACGGGTAAATGTCCAGGGACTGGGGTCCAAACCAGGAGTAAAGGATACTCTAGGACAGCTGGTGGGAAGGGGCACTTGGCAGGGAAAGAGACAGGAAGCAGAGGGGACAATCCACAAAGGCACAAAGGGCAGGAAGAGTGAGGGGAGGGCATGCTCATTTCGGCACAGGCGGCACTTGGGATGCCCAGGAGAGAGGGTGAGGCTCCGGAGCCTGGCAGAGGCAGGCTGCGCATGGCCTCACGTGCTTATGCCAAGGAACAGGGGCCTACATTTTTAGGAACCAGGGAGCCACAGAGGTCCAGAAAGTGAGTCTTAATATTATTAGAAGAGGAAAAATTTGCAATAGGTGCCAACGAAGAGACTAAGAACACTTTAAACACAATTAAAATTGCAGGTACTATTTAAGAATAAATCTGTAAAGTGCTTTTTAAAAAATCTGTATATTTTTAGCATTATATAGAATTAAACAAATAACACAATGACAACAAAATTGCCTGAGTAACTCTAGTCTGGGTTAAATAGCAACATGTTTTCTAGATTGCAATAATTTTAAGGATCGACATAGTCATCTGACTCATTTCAGGTCCATGTGAGAATCAATGAAAAACATGAGTTGAAAGATATATGCCTTAACCTTAAAACAGCCTGACAGTATCTAAAAACTATGACTAACATACAGTCTTAAAGATTATAGTCTCTTAATTCTATATTCTACTCCAAAACTGCTGGTGATGACTCTCAAGGTATTTAGTTAGAAAGGAAAAAATCACCTAATACCACTGAGGAAGAGAGAGAGATGGGTTTATGGGTTGGTGCTTCCCAAACATCATTGCCAGGTAGGAACCTATAAATATTAATGACCCATGTGCTTTTGAAAGTAAATTGACAAACTAACAAGACCTGTAAATATATAAGATTCAGACTTTGCCTACAGATTCCTGTTTTTATAACTGAAAGTTTACAATAAATCTTCAGGACAGAAAAGCCATCAATACCACCACTTCCATCTCTCATGGTAAAAAAAAACCCACAACAACTTTACTGTTTATCTTAGAAGTACAATGCTTAGCACACAGAATCTCTAAAAATAACACAATAAAAAGGCATGAGCCTTCTGGAGACATTCATTTCTTCAGTAGTATAGCAGTAAAATGCTTATAAACATTAAGATTTATAGGAACTGTAAATAAATTAGCAACTTTAAAAAAATTAGGCAGGAATATTGCTTGATCCCAGGAGTTCAAGGCTGTAGGACACTATTGTACCTGTGAATAGCCTCTGCATTCCAGCCTGGGCAACACAGTGAGACCTCATCTCCTGGAGGAAAAAAAAACAAAACAAACAAACAAAAAAACCTAACAGAAAAACACACAACTCACAAATTGTGTGGAGTCTACTATGAAAAATAGGCAAGTTTTACTTGTAGAACATTACTAAACTTGGTTATTTTGATATTCTACCCATTCACATGAACCATAAGAAAAAATGTATTTGTTCTTCATCCTTCACTGAACTTTTTAACTTTCAATTTTGAAATGACTTCAGACTGAGAGTTCCTTTACATCCTTCATCCGGTTTCCCTAACAGCAACATTTCACATAACATGGCACATTTATCAAAACTGCAAAATGAACAGTACTACGACACTGTTAACCAGAGACTTCATTCATATTTTTCCAGCTTTGCCACTTATGTCCCTTTTCTGTTCCAGGACCCAACCCACCATCCATGTTACAATGACTCGCCGTGTCTCCTTAGCCTCCTCCATTCTGTGACAGTTTCCCAGTCTTTCCTTGACACAGTTGAAGAGTACTTGTCAGGTATTTTGTAAAATGTCCTTCATTTGCATGTCTTGGTGTTTTCTCATGATGAGACTGGGCTTACAGATTTTGGGGGAAAATACCACAGAAGTGAAGTGTCCTTCATATCGTACCATAGCGGGGAGGACGAGGTCAACATGACGATGTCAACATGACTCACCACTGGTGATGTTAGCCTTGATCACTTGGTTAAGGTGGTGTCAACCAGGTTTCTCCATTGTTAAGTTACTTTATTCCCTGTCCATACTCTACTCATGAAGGGAGTCACTAAGTCCAGCCCACACTCATGGGAGGGGAATTAAGCTCCACCTCCTAGTAAAAGAATATCAAAAATTTTGTGGATGTATGTAAAAACCAGACAAGAATAAACATTTTGGGTGATATATATGAAATTATGCAAGTATCCTAGTAGAAAATTTTCATATTTTCATTAAAATCATTTTTAAGACTTCTGAATGCTTTAGAAAAGTAGAGAATTCAGAAACTTTTTACATGATTAGCTTAACTAGATTACAGATGGAAATGTTTTATGGAGACTATTTTTATATTTTAAAATCAAATTCAACAAATGCAGTACTCCCGCAAAAGTCAAACTTAAAACCATGCATTTTTCTTATTTTCTGTTATGATTCATAGACTCACTTAGATAAGAGGTTTCCAAAATGAGTTTTCATTTTTGTACAGGGGCAGCTGGTCACTTAATACCTCAAGTGCTAGCACTCAAGTGCAATTTTACATAATAATTTTTTCCAAGAGCATATAACCACTTTATAATATGTTACTTCAAAAACTACTCAAAAGGAGGTGGTCATCAACCTATTCAGGGTCTCAGAAAGAAACTTCCAATGCCAATAATAATAACCATGATGATAAAGAAAATAGTATCAATAAGGACTTGAATGAGCACTGGACACCCAGTGTGTTTTACACTCAACCATACTACCTCTCCACAAGAGCCATTCTTACACCACGCCATGATGTTACTATACCTCACCTTTATAAATAATTACCCTGTTCCCTGGAGCACGTTCCCAGACCCTAGAGTAGGATAAAAAGTTTCCTCTGATGATCACTTCACTCCACTATAAAGAGTCTCAAAGACAGCATAAAATAAGACATGGGACTCCCAAAGGCACAAGAATAAAATTCACATTTCCTTTGCACTGTAATACCTTTGAACAAGGGAGAGACCAAAAGAACTTGACTCACTAGCCCATCATATTGCCTAATTCCTCTTTATCCAAGTAAATTATATATCCAAACAAGTAAAGCTGGACTTAAACTCTGATCAATAATCTGTAAATTGGCCGGGCATGGTGTCTCATGCCTGTAATCCTAGCACTTTGGGAGGCCGAGGTGGGCGGATCATCTGAGCTCGGGAGTTCGAGATCAGCCTGGCCAACATGGTGAAACCCCATCTCTACTAAAAATAAAAATTAGCCCCGTGTGGTGAGGCACACCTGTAATCCCAGCTACTCAGGAGGCTGAGGCACGAGAATTGCTTGAACCCCGGAGGCTGAGGTTGCAGTGAGCTGAGAGTGTGCACCACTTAGTTCCAGCCTGGGTGACAGAGTGAGACTCTGTCTCAAACAAACCAACAAACAAACAAACAAAAAACAATCTGAAAATCTCTGGAAGGTGCTGTGAAGCCTTCTTGCTACATCTTATTCTAATCCTCTAATGAAACCTGCTTCTCAAAGGCATGCAATCAATGTTCAAGTTTTCTTTTTGATATTTGTATGGTATCATAACAGTCTTCTTTTTGTTTTGGGGGATGGGGATGATTACAATAGAATTCGGGCTCTGGAACCAGACAGCTGCTGGTCAGTTTCACTCACTCGGAGGACTTGGGCAAAGGCCTGAGCCACAGTCAAACCCTACCGGCCTCCACTCCACTTGTGTGTGTAGCATGTGGATAATAAATAATGAACTCACAGTGTTGAGAGAGTTAACTGAGTTGCTGTAGATAAAGCAGCACTAAGCATGATCTGTCTGGCACCAAGATCTGTGCTCGTTAAATACTTACTGTGATAAAGGTGTTGAATAATAACATGGCAGCTAACTCCTCCAGCAGGAATTGTGGGGTAAGAGCAGTGTAAACTCAGGTCCTGGTGCAATCATTTCTTCACCTAACCTTAAGCAAGTTACCTAAGTTCACTGAGAATACTTAATTTCACCACCCCCCAAATAGAGAAAATAACATTTATGCCACAGTGAGAATTAAATGCAATCGTGAATCTGAAACATTAAGCATACAATAAGTGCTCAATAAGCAGTCGCTATGTATAAATACATACATCCACATATTAACACAGTTCTGACACATACTGTTTTTAAACACTGCTTATAAGGTAAAATACATTTTGAGTAAAGAATGTGTAAATGACTTGTAGAAAAATATCTCACTTAAAAGATGGGGTGCATAGGGCCAGGCGCGGTGGCTCACATCTGTAATCCTAGCACTTTGGGAGGCTGAGGCAGGCAGATCACCTGAGGTCAGGAGTTTGAGGCCAGCCTGGCCAACACGGTGAAACCCTGTCTCTACTAAAACTACAAAAATTTAGGCAGGTGTTGTGGTGTACATCTGTAATTCCAGCTATTCAGGAGGCTGGGGCAGGAGAATTCCCTGAACCCAGGAGGCGGAGGTTGCAGTGAGCCGAGATTGTACCACTGCACTCCAGCCAGAGCGACAGAGTGAGGCTGTGTCTCCAAAAAAAAAAAAAAAAAGATGGGGTGAATAAATACTAGTGGCATAAATGTATCCCATTCTTTATCAAATATTTATCAGATAATTATGTATTAGGCAAAGAGTTATATTAACAATCAATATTATACTAAGCAAATGGCCTTTGGCACTTCTTTAAAGTATATAAACACTACACACCAAAGACAGCACTGACTAGAGAAGGGAACCAGCCCAGGTTGTAAAGCCTTGGTTCAAGTCTTTGCTGTAGTACTTCCCAGTGGTGTGACATTGGGCAAGTGATTTAACATCTCTAAGCCTCAGTTTCTTCACCTATAAAATGGATCTCTGTCTCAAAGAGGCTGAGAGAACTGAATGAGTTAATAAAGAATCCACTTAATATATGTTAGTGATTATTTTGATTTTTGTTTTATAATATCACATAGTATTAAGATAATTTAAAACAGGAAATAAGAAAACTGGACATTGTAACAGCAATAAGTTAGAAATCATCTAAATCTGTTTAGTAGCGAGCAATTTAAAAGTATATAGAAATTATTAAAAATGTATGTCATATTAATATAAACAGTACAATTTTATTGAAAAGATTGAACGAAAATCAAGTAACAACAGAAAATAAACATTATAAAGATTATATGAGCATGCAGGCTTATTTATACATACAAAATACACTTGTATATACGTGCCTTTTTAAATGCCTAACAGGTATAGACTGGTGCTGAATAAAATATTAACAGTAGTTATTTGAGGTGATCAGATTTGGGAGGATTTTCACTTCCTTCTTTGTACTTGAGAATTTACCAACTGTATAAATGCTGAAGCTTTTTTTGTAAAGGAAATAAAACAAAAGGGGACCCTGGAGATTTTAACACATAGCTACAGCACAACTGAATGAAGAGAAGATTAACTTATGCCCACTCGAAGGTGAACAACAAATCCTATTTAAAAGATGGGAAACAGATGAATAGCAGTAGCATGAAATCACATTAGTATTTTCAGAATAGATGTTAAAACTTAATGAAGACATATACAATAAGGAAATGATAAGATCAAGTTGGACAAAGAAAAAATTCTGCTCATATGCATACTTTGCACATTTGATCAACCTAATATTTTTACTAAGATTTTCTTTATGGTCCCCATTTAGCAAGTCTGTAAATACCTGAATAAGATAGCTGAGGAAAACTTCTGAAAAATCCGATTTTGGGTAAGTGGGAAAAAGCAAAAGTCTAAAGTCAGATTTTCATAGCATGGCCTTTTGATAATAACAGCCCCAGTCTAACAACCCAACCTTCCCCAAAAGACGAACAAATAAATTCAGACATAGGAACTTCTAGTTAAATGGGTCACAGAAGCTGGCATCTTGAACCTGAAGATTCTCAGAAGAAACAGAAGTCACATGCCTATCAATAATTTACACAGACTTTAAAATAAATTGTTATTCTTTCACTGCTGGCAACTTTGTGGAATAGGACCAATTATCAGGAAACAATGAATACCACTGCTTCAGGTACAGGTAGCGCCTGTGCCCGGAATAACTCCTCAACAATCTTGTCAATGGTCTCCTTCTAAGAGTTACATGCTTAATGTTTGTTTGTTTTGTTGTTGTATTTTTTTTCCTTTCAAAGATAATTATAATTTTTAAGACAATTATTTGTGAACTGATGCTTTTAAAGTTCCTGTTTCATTTGGAAATTGTAGAAGTCTTAAAGTAATGAAATGGAGAGGAAAGAGTATCCTAAAACTATAACCTGCAGTCCATTTGTCCTACTGAGCTCACTTTTTGCTCTTAGGATGTGTCACCACGTGAGATTGTTTAGGAGCACCACGGCAGTCCATCAGTCTGCAGAGTGTGATGGGACCTTCCAAGGTGTGCCCTTGTGTGGAGTGCACCTGCCTCTTCTTGCCTTCTGCATCCTGTCCTCTTCTGAATTTTTCTCAACACTGCTAAGTAGATAAGACATTGTACTAAGGATAAAATGAATTTTGGCTTTGAGAATAAAAGCAGCATCTTTAAAAATAAACATACGAAGACTGGTAAATGTTACTTAGAAATTAAATAAAAGAAGAGTGAAGGAAAAAAATGTAAAGCTAAGAGGAGCACAGCAATCTGCTCCGAGCTGCACGAGTGCCAGTTTGTGGGCCCCAGGGCTCGGCAGGATTTCTCTGTACAGTGCCAAACTCCAACAATATTGTTATGGTTAGAAAGGAATTTCTCACAAGAGCTAACAAAGGCAGAAGGTCATAAATAAACCCAGCAGGATTGCCTTGTCAGTTCTCATTATTAGCGCTGCAGGCATTTGCTTTTCTATGGGCTTCTTACAGGTTCATTTAAGTGTAAGAGTTCCTCCTCAAAAATTCACATGCTCGTAAATAAAACTGTTCCTAATCTAGCAATGTAAAATACTTGAAAACTAAGAAAATAAGTAAGTAAATAAACACATAAAGGCCAGGAGACCTGCAAAGGGCAAGGGATACTGCCGCATGCTCCAGAACTTCATACCTGAACTCCTGGCCTGATTGACTACCCTTAGCACTGACCACAAGAATTGTCTGAAGAATTATATCTGGGCAGGAAACGATGCTGAGCTCCTAAACTGATGCTGACATATGTTATAAACTGAGCAAAGCACAGCTGTGTGATCATTACTGTAATTATGAAGTGACATTTAGTGTTAACTTTTATTGAAGATTTTTAACTAGTAACAAAAAAGGAGGTGTCAGTATACTAGCAATAGGAAGAGATGTTGATATTTAGCAATTTAGAATATCAAAACTTACAATAATTCCAATATAGATTTTTATTCAAAGGAGAAAAGATCTGAAGACCTGATTTCATGTACTACTAACCAAAAAATATATTTATTAGCAATAAGAGAAATATATTTTATCTTTCTTTAAAAAAAAAAGAAAAAAACAAAATGAACAATTTAAGGTAACACAGCTTATTATTCTTTAAAAAATAAGAGAAACACATTGGAAAACAAAATAGAAAAAAAATGATCAGTAGTGTCACTATTCAGAGCTTACTAAATTGTAACATTTTGCCATATTTCCTTCTAGTCTTTTTTCTTAGGTATAGGCAACAACATATCTTTAAGCATAATATGTATGCAAAAACAGATATGATATCAACTGACCTACTGGCTATCCTCTATCAGGAAAAATGAATTACATCATGCCTTTTAAGAGAACAACTACAATTTCCAAGGAGAAACGTTATTCGTATAGGCTAGGACGCTGGAATGCCGCTTCATGTAGTTACCTAGTCAGTCCTAGAAGCTGAACTGTTAAGTACTGTTATGTTACAAAGAAAGGTATGTTTGCGGGATTCCTTTCCACTAGCTTGCAACCTCTCATTACCTACCACTCATGATCATTAGTGTCAAGCTGATACTGATTCTTCACAGGAAAAAGGCTCCAGGTTTGCTTTAGGCACTGGCAATTGGTCTATGATCTGAGTATTCAAACAGGATTGCCCTTGAATAACATAACATTACTGGTACAAGGAACATGAATAAATGCTGAAGCAAAGGGAATTTAAATGTTCAAGAGTGGCAAAAAACTGAGAGAGGCCTCACTTTACATTGGTGAGGAAAAGTGGGTTTTGCCAGAGAACATTTCTGAAGCAGCTAAGTAACTGCATTAACTGTAGCCTACCTACAAGAAATTAGTAGTGTTAAATTTGCAATACGTTGCAAACATCATATTAAATTTTATTAGATTAATGGCTTTATAACCAGGTAGCCCACAGTTGACAATGAGAGGCCATAAACAGTCCTCAGGAACTTGCTACTGAATATTCTGACAACAGCAATAAATAGTAAATGCAAGGTTCCCATACCTGACACATGCAGGACATGAATAATATATAAAAAATAAATGGAGCTATATTTAGACTTGTGACAGCTAACCTATGCTCTTCTTAGCCAAACTAGACATCATCAATTCTTAGAGCAGTTTAGCAGATGTTAAGGGGCCTCACATTTGAGTATAGAAAAAGAAAAAAAAATAACCACAGTAGTTCAGATAAAAACGTGATACAAGTTAAACATTAAAATGTAGGGGGACGCTACATTTCACTCAGAAGAGAAACCCTTATGACTGCCTGGTTGTTAGGAACTGCACAGAATTTTCAGAACTGAAACAAGACCACAGTAGACATTTACTCCTATTCTGTGTTTTCGAAATGTGAAACAGAGGTCCGGAGAAGCTAAGTGATTCATATCAAAACTATGCACAGGTTCTACAAACACAGACTACATTAGGATGCAGCTTCTAGATATATTCATTAACAACATCAGCGCAGATATTGATAGCTGCATCCAAGAGAGCAGAGGATGTGTTTGTATGCATCTGTGTACGCACGTGTGTGAGAGGGTGTATGTCTCTAGTTAAATGCATTCTCTAACAGGTATTTCACACTATGTAAGCATATGATGATCTCAAAATCTTTTCATTTAGTAAAAATATAACTTTGTAAGTGATAAAAGGAAGAGTAAAATGCAAAACTATGCAGCAGAAATGTCACAGTATGCATAAGAGCAGGATATACTTTGATAGATCCTTTGGTGACTTAAAATAGATCTCTTGTTTTCTAATTTCTACCCTTCGGTGGGTCTCACAGAATGTTTTCTCCAGTTCTCCAATTGCTTGGACTTGCAAACATAATAATATTTAGTGTATCTTCTTGTGGGTGATCCCCAACAGCCTGTATTGTGCACAGGTCCATAAAACAAGAGACCATCATCAGATTCAGCTGAAGACAGCTACCTCTCACCAACACAGGCAGAAGAGAATGTCTTCATAATGTGCCTACCTGACCTGTGCAGGAGGCCCACCTCTAATACAACACAAAAATTCATAATTAAGTTCAGAGGGAATTTAAAGAGCAATAAGTAAAATGTATTTTATCATGAGTGCTAATAATTTTGCTCGAATTGATAAGGCAACGGATTTTTGTTCTGTCTGCTGATTTCCCATGGAATTCACACGAGTGAAAGATAAGAGAACCAAATTGTGAAGACAGAATGTTTTGTGAAATCACAGTCCATGAAGTAAACCATCTGTGATCTAGCACAGTTCTCAACTTACAATGGATCCCTGGTGCCATATGAAGTGATAAATAGTTTATTTTATAAAGTTAGGAGTTCTGAAGTACCTACGATTGTTTTAGGTCTTAAACATATGGGGTATGGCACAAGCTGAATTTAAATTCCTGAGAATTGTTGACTGTGGAATTAACTCCACCTATGGAGAAGCTGACCATGTACACTCTGCAATTACATATGGCAGGATACAGGAAGAAAAGGCGGAAAAAAGGGACAAGACGAAAATGGGGAAAGAGAGCAGAAGACAGAAAAACACAGGCACTGCACAGTACGCAGAACGAGTGCATATTATAATACTTTCTGTGTGAATAAACAAATAGGTCAATGACCACACATGCGGAAAAATGCAAGGAAAGCAGACAAAGTGTCGGGCAGATCCAGCAAATAATAAATATTATTGAAAATCTTAACCTATCACTGCTAAGCTAAATGATATAGGAAACTCTCTATACATGCACATTTGAGCAGGAGGAACCTTCGCGAGAAGCAAAAAAAAAGTGGCCCTATGGGCAAGATGCAGCCCCGTAAAACCACGGTTCCTCTGTGGAAGGAAACTGTACCCCATTCTCAGGAATGAGGGGAGCAGGGAGACTCTGTCTTAGCACCAGGCCAGTTTCAAACCCCATTTGTTCTCAGGAAATTAACCCTGGATGCACTGTCACAGTGACCCTGCCTGGCACCAGTAGATGGCCTGTACTTCCCAGAAAAACGAGCAAAGCTTCGTGGTTAGGAGCATGGGCTTTGTGACTCGAACTTGGTTCACTCCTTACTTCTACTGGTTACTAGCCATTCAGCCTTAAACACTTGACTTAGCTCTGAGACCTCAATTTCTTCATTGACAAACTAGTACAAATACTGCTAAAATCTTTGTTTATAATGAGACAGAAGAAAGTCTTGGAATCTGCTTGGCAAACAGTGAGAATAAATGATAGCACTTCTTGTTTTTTTTATCCTGACAGCCCACTCAGTAAGTAGAGACAACTGCATTTCATACACAGGAAACAGATTCAGAGGGTGAGGTGGTTGGGCCATGATTTCAATCCAGCTCTCTGTCTTCAAAGCCCATTTTCAGTGTTCTAAAGTCCACTCCTCTAATACATGTTTTTCTCCTTTCTACTCCCACACCAAAGGAAAAAAAAACAAGCCAGAGAAAGAAATTTTAAAAAACTGTACTCTATCAGTGTTTTCCAGGAGGTTCACGGTTTTTCTGAAATTAAAATCATTTAATAATTCAAGTGCATCTCCTTCCTCTCCTAGCAAAACAAGTATTATTTTTGCTTTGATGGAAAATGAAATCTCTCCCACTGCAATAATTACCTCCCAGATCTTCCACTGGAACAGAAAATGGCAAAACACCACTCCCAGTATCCTAACGAAGGGACTAAATGATTCTATTCTTTGGAACAAAAGACCACCATGAACTCAGACATAAGCTATCCGTTAAAGGCTATAATATCATCATACAAGCAAGACAGTGTTTTGGCCCAAAAATGTCATTAAAATTAAAACTTTCTTCATTGAGATATTTATATATTTAATGGAAGATACTTTAAAACTAATTGTGCATTATATTTTATATTTAATTGTCAGGAGACCATTTAAAATTCTGAGATTATATACAGTCCTCAGAAAACAGTTATTACAGAAGGAAGAATAGTAAAACCAAAATGGAAAAGAATTGAACTACACCTTTTCTTCCTTTCTGTAATTTTTAAAGGGTAACTCTTGAGTAACTGATTTTGAAAGCAAAGAATATTCTCTTCCATGACATCCATCTTGTCTAAAATTTCTTTTAGTTACTATATGAAACAGTAAAAACTGATATTGACAGAAACTCCTTGAATAAGTTTTGTGTTTTCTTCACACAAACCCTCTCACATTTTCATGTGAAGAAATAAGATTGTTTTCTGTGGGGAGACTAAACAAATGGCTTACCATTAGTGACCATCGGGGACTGGAAATTTAACTGACTTTTATTCAGACAGTGTGGTAGGGGTTGGGGATGGATGGATAATGATTCAAAAGAGGCATAAGAGGGCTTTTGGGGTCCTGGTGGTGTTTCTGAACCAAGTACTGATTACACAAGTGTGTTCATTTTGAGAAAATGTATCAAGTTGTACATTTAAATTTGTGCATGTCCCTGTATTTATGTTACACCTCCACAATACTTACATTAAAAAATGGACTTCTACACAATGACAGCATAGTCATTTGTCATGGCATTAGAGAATATAAACCAGCCATCATCCAAATCCTTACGGTCTTATTTCTCCTGATAGGTCAGCACTAATGTACGCTAAATTCTTCTTTGGTATTCTCCCTGAAAATATGACCTGCTCTCAGAAAAGCAAGAAGTCCAACTGAAACGGAAGTTTCTATGGGTAGGTAATGGTTTGACCCCTGATCCCACTACCACAATTGTTCCAATTCTCTAATGATTTCCCTGCAGGGTTCATTTACCAGTTCTGGGTCAAAGACCAACATGCCCATGAAGTCAAGGGTCAACCCAAGCAGTGCTTGATGTATTTGAAAGTAACTGTACCATAAAGGCACCTTTCATCAATTAGAGACGGTTTTTTAATTTAAAATAAAAGTATAAACCACAATATCATCATCATTTATATTAACGAATTCACAGGCATACACATATGGAATGATATATCCCGATTATGGTACAGAACCAGTTAATACCCAGAGCCAAAGTAGTTTCAGCTTAAAAAAAGAGAGGCAATTTTACCTTACTATCTTCAGTAGTATCACATTTGAAAGCATTTTTCATTTGTCTCTCAGATTTTCCTTCAAGTTTTCATTACTTTGAACTTCTTTTAACTTATATTCTTCATGACTTTGACTAGCACAGTTATGTATGGGTTAGATAGGGACGTGGAGAGGTGAATTTCCCCAAATATGATAAAATGCTGCTTTAATACTCTTTTAACTTAAACACTACTTCCTTACTTTCATATCTATAAAAATAACTATTTGCAAATAATAATTTTTGTTAAACAAACTACTCCAGTAGAGAATGGGTTGAGCCATTTGGACTTGAAAATGGAGTGTCTTTTAGAATTATAGTCAGTTCCTAATAAAACAACAAAAGACAGTAACTTCCTCTACTGCTTATTTGTCCTGAAGAGGAAGGAAAGGGAGTAGTAATCAAAAAAAGAGGGAGAGAAAGTGAGAGCCGGGGCTGAAGGGCAGGGGGCAGGCCAAGGTTGTGGCTGGGGTGCACGCAGTATCAGGCAGAGGCCGGAGCCTGGGGTTAGAAGCTGGATCCACCAGGGCCGAAGCTCTAAAGTGTAATCCACTCAGCTGGTCAGGAGAGGATGTGGGGACAGTGGGGCATGACACTCGTCAGGTGCAGCAGCTAAAGGTGCATTTGGAAGTGTTCTCGGCGAATCCAGAAAGCCAGGGTTGTGCGTTCTCCACTTGACAGACTTTGGATTGGGTTATAAGTGCTCATGAATAAGAAGCATTAGAAGAGTAAAAATTAAACAAATCAAGTCTTCACTGTTCACTGGGAACAACAATACACTCAAACCATCGAAGAAACACTAAGAAGAATGTTTCCGTATCATCATAAAAACTGAGCATAGCCTCTGAGTGTTTTATTTTGCTCTTTAATATTACGAACACACATAGCTAAACATGCGTTCTGGAGAAAGGAGCTTTAGAGTCTCATGAAAAACAAGTATTCCTGTTCAGCAGATACATGCAAAGTTACCTTAAAGAGCAAGGCCAACTCCTAAATAGGCAGTACCTATCGTCAGACCAGATATACTCAGATGGCTCAGGAAAAACTGTATCAGTCAAACGAGGGGCTGATCAGCCAGGGAAAAATCTCAGAGGTGCTGCAAGACAAAGATGACAACAGGGTAGGGAATCCAGGCCAATGAATATCAGAGATGACTGCACAACCAGAATGGGATTCCTACTGTGGAGATGCAGGTTTCCGGCTAGCCTAGTCGGATGCCACAAACCTTCCAATTATTTAACCACCCCATGTTCTGATGCCCCCCTCACAGACTGGCCTCTCCCTACAGAGGTCAGCCTGCAGGTAGAGCACTGCGGTGCCAACCAGTGTGGTCCATGAGTCTTCATCTGAGATGGGTCATCTAGCTCTCAGTATTCTCCTGGTAACATTGGTTTCTGAGCCTTGTAAAACAGAGAACCAGATCTTGGTCTTAAAGACATTTGCTAAAGGAATGTCACCCTGTGATAAGTCATGAAAAACTAAAACCCTCCCAGATAACACACTAGCCATTTGCATATTGTACAAGGACTAGATTGTCAGGTTTACCCACTGGCAGTCATTCCATACATAACAATAAAATTGAGAAGTCTGACTCATTAGAAGTACATTTCGTATGAGTTTTATATTTTACACACATTTTATGTTGGTAACTCACATGTGCCTGAGAAGTTAACATACTATTCTTCCACACTCAATTCTTATGGTATAATAGAATTAAACTCACATTCTATAGGCAAGTCAAGTAATAGCACAACTATCTAAAAAAAAATCTAACAGAGGAGGAAAGGGCCCCTAATGATAAGCATCTTGGTGTGGAAAAGGCACTGGCTTTTTATTAGCCGCATGCCTCACAGTATCAGCTACCTAACCTGTGAGGCTGTTTCCTCCTTTGTCAAAGGGGCATGAGAGCACCTGCCTCTTAAGGTGGTGTGTTAAAAGAAATGCAAAGCACCTGGTATTTGCTTGCTGCTCAGTAAATGTTAGCCCCCCAGCTGCCACCCCTTCTTCCCTTACTCAACATTTCACACTGGCATGAAAAAATGGCTGGTGGCTCATTCACCTGTCCTGGAAACTGTCCTCTCTCCCTTGGAACTTGATAGTAATCTAAGATTCAAAAATGTTTAAAAGAAAAAAAAAAAGGGAAAAGCCACCACATTAAAGATTCTCTACATTCTTCAAATCCAAGATGAGGATGGTCAGTAGGACCCATCCATTCTCATTCTGAAATGTAACTTATTTCTTTAAAATATATTTTAGGCTGGGCACGGTGGCTCACGGCTGTAATCCCAGCACTTTGGGAGGCTGAGGCGGGTGGATCACCTGAGGTCAGGAGTCCGAGACCAGCCTAGCTAACATGGTGAAATCCCATTTCTACTAAAAATACAAAAAATTAGGCAGGTGTGCTGGTGCGCACCTATAATCCCAGCTGCTCGGGAGGCTGAGGCAGGAGAATAGCTTGAACCCAGGAGGCAGGGGTTGCAGTGAGCTGAGATCGCGTCATTGCATTCCAGCTTGGGCAACAAAAACAAAACTCCATCTCAAAAAAAAAAAAAATATATATATATATATTTTAAAACATACCAGATTAACAGACACTTTGTATGAAACAACAAACATCACAGGAGGAAGGCAAGTAGCGAGTGCTCATCGGACCACCGTCATCAGTTTCTTATGGTACCCTGTCCTCATACCTTCTATGAATATACAAGGGAAAATTTAAAAATCAAACTCGTGTCTACAGCAATTAACAAAAGGAGAAACAAGCCATGTTCGGTGGCTCACACTTGTAATCCCAACACTTTTGGGAGGCCAAGGTGAGAGGATTGCTTGAAGCTAGGAATTCAAGACCAGCCTGGGCAATGCAGTGAGACCCCGTCTCTACAAAAAATGAAAAAAATTAGCTGGGCATGGTGGTGTGTGCCTGTGGTCCCAAGTACTTGGGAGGCTGAGGCTGGAAGACTGCTTGAGCCCAGCAGTTGGAGGCTGCAGTGAGCTATGGCGCCACTGTACTCCAGCCTGGGTGACAGAGGGAGGCTCTGTCTCTAAAAAAAAAAAACAACAAAACAAAAGGAGAAACAGAAACAGGGGAACATACAATAGCAAGAGAAAGCAAAAGAATCTAATGTTGTAGCTATGTACTTGGGAAAGTAGATTCGGCTTATCATGACTGCTTTGTCAAACATTTTATTATCTCCAAAAAGTGACAGCAGTGACAGCACGCATGGGCTGTCTTTAGCTCCTTTCATTTTTGCTGTCTCGCTTTTCCCACTGCAAACTCAGTGGTTATTAGCTGCTGGAAAAATTTACCATGGTGACTCTTCCATAAAAATACTTTCCTCCTACCACACGATGCACGTTTGGAAAAAACATGGCACAGACATTTCAGTTTAATTGTTCTTAATTGGGTTGTCTGAAAAACAAAAACAGGCTTTTTTATGCTGTGAAAAAATACACAAAGGGTGGAATCAGCTATCTTTTTTATTTCTGGTATATTATTTAAGGAATGGCACAGAGTAGGCACTTTGGATGGATTAGAGTTATCAGATAAAATATGGGAACTCAGTTAAATTTCAGAGAAATAACAAGTTTTAAGTGTATGTGCCATGTAATATTTGGACTTATACTAAAATTTTATTCATTGCTTATGTGAAATTCAACTATAACTGGGCAATCTTTTTTTTTTTTTCTAAATCTGACAACCCTGAGATGGTAAAGGCAATAATAACCAGGAGTTAAAATACCCACGCCCACTGCCCGAACTCCTCCCCACAACTGCGAGATGTCAAGCAGGTGACCTCACCTCTTGGTTCTTCTGTTCCATTCTCTATGAAATGGGACATCACCTGCCATACCTTGCAGGGTTGACATGTGGAGCACTTCCATGTGCTCCGTACCATTCTAAGTGCTGCAGATAAGTAATGTAACTCTATCTTCACCGCTTTGAGATATTTACTATTATTGCTCCCATTTAAAATTTTACTATTATAATTGCCATTATGCAAACAGCTAACAAATGTAAATTCAAATGCAGCCAGGCTCTCAATTTAATGCAGTAAAAATAAATATATGATAAAATGTATAAGAAAGACACAAATAGGATATATTACAATTAAAGAATTAGAAGGAATTAAACTTTGACAGGAAAAAAAGATTGTCTTGGTTGATCAGTTGAGGGGACAGCCTGAGTCACGAGTCCACAGGAGGTGAGACAGACCACACAAGACCCTCTGCCCATCCAGAGGTGCCACAGCAGGTTGTGGGGTGGGGAGTGGGCAGAGCACTCCACTCTGTAACATTTTTTTAAAGGCTGAAAATAAAAAACACCAGCAGCTCCAGGGGGAAGAAGCTGTAAAAGATCATTTGTGAGTTAACTAACCACAGATGGGGCAAAATTAACCTTGGTGTGGACAAGGAATTTGTTGAGATGGAAAGGAAGGACAGCTCAGAGAAGCTGAGAAGGAAAAAATAGCAGGGGGTTAAGGACTGAATCAAAAATGTGTAAAGTAAACCATCAGCAGATATTTATTACCATCTCAGGATTGTGAATCTGTGCCAAGACAGCATGGTCGGGCTCTTGAATGTGATGAGACAATGAAAGAATAGTAAAAAAAAAAAAAAAAAAAAAAAAAAGTTCAGATTTTGCTTCACATATATTAAAATGCTTTCAAAATAAGTTTAAATCTATATGTTAACCAGATTGAAACTTTGTGGTTGTGTGTGAAATTGTTGTTATTGAAAAGTATTATTTAAGAAAAACTACTAGTGAAACAAGTGATATTGGAAAATTATTTATTCTTCTATGGCACTAGACCTTGGGATTTTACATTTATTAATCAAAGTATGTAATGTTCGTGTTTGCATACAAACAGAGACTACTTTGCAAATAATTATTAATAATTATTTTTGTTCCAGATAATTAATCTTAAAAAGTTGCGCACATGTCTACTATACCCTATTACAATGTAAAAATTGAACACTCTCTGCTTTACCATCGTATTGGTTTCTGAATTCAGAGCTGAGAGGCGCTATGCTATATAATTTACCTTAAGAACTGTTTTTATCGACTGATGGATTGTTTTCCCAGATGTGGACTTATCAGCGGTCTCTTTAGTACTGGTATCTAGACAGGGAGTTGGCAGTAAAGTTCCTGTTTCACTAATTACATTCTTTTCCAAAAGTTCACCCTGCCTCGGTGTCCAGGTAATTGCAATTAAGTCAGGAATCTGGTAATTAGAAATTCAAGTGCCCTGCCAGGAACAATACACTTCCTCTTGACACGCTGCCCACAAGAACTAATTCACTTGGAAAGGACAGAAGCTGATGTGAAGTGGCAGCGTAGATGCTGATTAAGCAACAAGCAGTGAAATAAATTTTTCCCCTCCTTGTTCTAAAACAAAATGCATTCTATCTCATTTAAACTCCTAGAAAGCATTTTGTAAATTCTGAAATGCACAGACAAAAGCATAATCACTCATATTCAGGAAAGCTTGCTCTCTCTCCCTCACAAAATGTTTCCCAGGCCAGGCAGGAGCTTTAGAGCCCACCAGGTCTCCCAGGCAGTAGAAGGGGCGTGCTAAGGAAATTTAGGGTCACTTGTATCTTGCTAATCATTGTTTAACCCCAGAGCTTTCCACAGGGCCTGGCCCACTGAAAACAATTAATAAATGTTGAGTAAACTAGTCTCAGAACCTCTTTGTCAATACTCTAATCTCAGAAACCTTTTGGTAAAATATAAGAATAAACATTTATTTGACTTACCAATAGATTAATTTCCATTACATGAATCAGACTCTTTTAACCTCATATTCTGCAGTATACTATCAAATATTTACAAACAATTCACTATGTAATGAAGATTTCAGGTAAGAAAGGAAAACACGATAAGTAACTTTATCTCTCTAAAAAGCAAGGGCTTAGCTGATTCTGTAAACCATTTTCTAGCGAATGGAGTAATTTCACCAGCTTCTTTTATTCCTGACATCACACAACTCTATTATATAACAAACTGTTACACATGATAATGTAAAACTTTCATTTATACATCAATTTACTATTTTCCAAGCACTTTCACATTTTCTCATTTGATTCTAAAGATACACAACTAATCAATATATCGTCTCTTAAATCTTTTCTCATGCCAACAGATACCACACACTGTCGATAAATGAATATATTTTTATCAAAAAAAAAAAACAAAAACACAATTTCCAAGCTGAAGTACCTTTGGCTATAACTCATCTCATTGAAACATCTAGGCAAGGTGTTTTGGGGCCTCCAAATCTTTCCTACCAAAATCCGCAGCCCCAGCTAGATCTGCCTATTCATTCCTGCCTGTCTGTGAGGCTACCCTCCTCTGCAAAGAGCTAAGTCAAATCTCCTTCAATGCCTGATCACCCCAGACCACGTGGTATTTTCCCTCTTCTATGTCTTATTAACCACATATCGCTGGTCAGGTGCTACCCAGCCCCATCTCTCCAACTGCATTGCAAATGATGAGGGCCAGAACCACGTCTGCCACCGCTAGTGTCCTCAGCACCCAGCACGGGTGAGTGAGGCAGGAAGACGCTGTGAGCCTCAAGCTGCCTCCCGCGGATCACATGGCTTGCTTCTGTGAACATCAGGCCATATTAAAGAGGGTGACTGACATCACAGTTGCAGGAAATAAATAATTTGGCACAAAGATTAAGATAAAGTAGGGCTGGGCGCGGTGGCTCACGCCTGTAATCCCAGCACTTTGGGATGCCGAGGCGTGTGGATCACCTCAGGTCAGGAGTTCAAGACCAGTCTGGCCAATATGGTGAAACCCTGTCTCTATTAAAAATACAAAAATTAGCCCAGCATGGTGGTGTGTACCTGTGGTCCCGGCCACTCAGGAGGCTGAGGCAGGAGAATCGCTTGAACCCGGGAGGTGGAGGCTGCAGTGAGCCAAGATCCTACCACTGCACTCCAGCTTGGGCAACAGAGTGAGACTTCGTCTCAAAAAAAAAAAAAAAAGACCAAGATAAAGTAGTTTGAGAAACAGTTGCTGATAATAATTTAGAGAAAAGCCTGATGGCGTTCAGCTGGTCATCTGGGCATATCTGAACTTCGTGGCCCTACTGGAGGTGAAGTGAGGGTGGTAGCAGACAAGCCACCACAGGATCAGACAGGACAATGACTTCGGTGTGCATGGAAGTTGGGTGTCTGTCTTGCCTTACTATGCCACTGCTTTCCTTAAGTACTACAGTTCATCTTGTAGTCACATGAGTTCCCAAAAACGGGTGCATCCATAAAATACTCATCAAAACTCAAAAAATTCTGCAAAAGAAAGAAAATTAACTAGTAATTTTCATGTCAACATTAGTAATTCCTCTGGAATATCAGAAAACCACTCAATGTACTCATAGAGTATGCTGTTGGTATCATCAACCCTATCTGAAATTAATCCTCCTAAACTTTTGTTTGATTCTAGAATCAAGCACAGGAAATATTTATGGCTATTTTAAAATTTTGACACATTTTCAAAAATAATGAGACTTGCTTTATATACGTTTTTAAATTTTCGGCTCTATGGAATTCCCCCACCTAAAGGACTGAAATCAAGTGCATACAAATCCTATTTAAAATATATTATTTTTCTCTAAAGTAATTCTGAAAGGAATCAGTGTTAGCAAAGATAAATTCAAAATAACGTGCCAAGCATGGTGGCTCACACTTGCAATCCCAGCTACTTGGGAGGCTGAGGTGGGAGGATCGTTTGGGCCTAGGAGTTCAAAGCCAGGCTGCACAACATAGTGAAACCTCATCTTACATAACTATCTATCTCATCTATACAGTTATAGATGTGTGTATATACATATATACCTGCAAACATAATTGAAAAGATTGATTTTTTTAAAAGATAAAGGATAGTTTGGATTTTTAAAATATGTTGTATTATATTTGATTCACAGAATTGAGAGAAAAATATATAATTATTTAAAAGTTAGGACACGTGGTGGCTCACGCCTGTAATCCCAACACTTTGGGAGGCTGAGGCTGGTGGATCATGACGTCAGGAGATTGAGACCATCCTGGCTAACACAGTGAAAACCCATCTCTAATAAAAATAGAAAAAATGAGCCAGGCATGGTGGCACGCACCTGTAGTCCCAGCTACTCGGGAGGCTGAGACAGGAGAATGGCGTGAACCCAGGAGGCGGAGCTTTCAGTGAGCCACGCCACTGCACTCCAGCCTGAGCAACAGAGTGAGACTCCGTCTTAAAAAAAAAAAAAATTCAAACAACTGGGGTAATAAAATAACCTGCACAACTCCCATGACGCATGCTTACCTACACAACAAACCTGCACATGTACCCCTGAACTTAAACTTATTTAAAAAAAAGAAGAAAAGTTTTAACAAAAAAAGAAGAAAAGTTTTAACAAAAAAAGTTAAAAAAAGCTTTTTAAGAAAAGTTTTTAACAAAAAAAAAAATTAAACAAAATTCAATTGCCTAAGTTTCTCCTTATATGCTCCAAAAATGATTAGTCAAAACTAAACATCAAAATGTTTAAAATATTGTTTAGACAAAAATTTTTTCTGAGCATTTCAAGTCTATCAAACTAACCAGACACAGCAGGGCCTTCTTTTTCTATTATTTGCATGCCTATGAAGATTCATGAGATCATAACCAAACATAACTACTGGAAGGAGAAACTGAGATCATAAAAACCTTCAACAGCAGCACTGAAAACAGAAACGCAGCACATCCTCCACCCACCCCAGAAGTGCATCAACTGCACAGTAAGAGCCTGTAGTAAGAAATTACTTATCTCACTCTATGGCAAAGGTTCAGAAGCTAACAATAAAACTGCTGCTATGATGGATAGCTCTGTTAAAGATGCTTATCATTTCTTTTCAATGTTGTCAGTCAAATATGTTCCATAATATCCCACTCTCATTTTTCCAAAGCTGCATTTTAGAAAAATTCAAGTTAAGGACATTTTGAGTACATGTAAAAAAAAGACCTTTGTATCTCTAAAATCTGAGGGCAAATGTGAAATCAGTAGCTGTGGGAGGCAGATTTTTAAGATGGTTCCTAAAACTCCCAGCCCCTGGTATACAGACCCTACATAATGCCTGACCCTAAGTATGAGGTGGGGGCGGTGTGGAGATGACAGGTAACACTTCTGCAATTATGTCACTTTATAGGGTAGAAGGGATTTTGCAGATGTAATTAAGGTCCCTAATCAGTTGACTTTGGTGTTAATAAAAGGAGATATTCCTGGGTGGGTCTGACCTAAAGAGGTGATCCCTTAAAAGAGGTGGGAGAGATTGAATGCAAATCTCCTGCCTGCTGCCATGTTGTGGAGACAGGCACGGAACTGCAGGTCACCTCCAGAAACTGAGAAGGGTGCTGGGTTAGCATGCGGCATGATGGTGGGAACCTTAGAACTCCAGCCACAGGGAAGTAAATTCTGCCAACGGGTGAGCTTGGAAGAGAACCCTAAACCTCAGATGAGACCACAGCCCTGACAATACCTTATCTCAACTTCACGAGATCCTGAGTAGAGGACCCAGTTATTGGACTCTTGGCTACAGAAATTGTGAGATACTCAGGAAGAATAGTTTTAAACTGCTGAATTTGGGGGTAATGTGTTACTCAGCAACAGAAAATTAATACATTTGAAACCTCACTTACCTTTCAAATCTCACCAGAGGAGATCTGTAAGAATTTTCAAATTTTCCTTTTTGTTAAAGTTAGCTTTCTATTGTTATCAAGAATATTATAATCAAATTTAAGGACTAGAGAGCAGTTACTACAGTGAGCAGTAAAGGTTTGAAATTTAAGGTGATATTTGGGTGTTTTCTTTTTAAAGCAAAAATTTTGAGCAGCTACTTCTAAAGAGTACTTTGTACAAGTTCTACGGGTGAATTTAAACGACAAAGACAGAAACAAAAAAAGATTATGTTACTGGAAAGGAAAATCAAAGGCATAAAAATAAGATGGGTAAACTAATGATTATTGTCTAGTTAACCAATTAATGATCTGTATCTTTTCTATAGCAGCATATTATTGGAGATCTGGCTTGAAGTAGAAGGAAAGATAATCACTCATCATTTCCAAAGGGAAACCAATGCAAATGGTCCCCTTATCCACACAGCAGGCACTAAGCTCCACCTGAGGTATCTGCTGGCTTCAGTGGTGAGGTGGCTCCTCTCTGGAAAGCCCCCCTACTTCCCGGCTGATGCCAGCTGAGGAGGATGCTTCCCAGTGGTGAGTTCTGTTCCCTCCTCTGCAGGTTTATGCTACAAGTTACTCCAGTTCTAAACTGAATGGAAAATGGAACCAGGTGATGTATCCATGTGAAAAGAGACCCACCACTGGGGATGAGTGAGCTAGTGAAACGCTGCTGCAGAATGAGGTACGGCTGAGACAGCGGTGAACCATGGACAGGAGGGAGGTACACGTGAATAGACATTTATGTGTTTTATGCTAAAATAAAATGTATAATGATTGCATCATTTTCAAAGATTTCTGCTTTAACCAATCTGACAATCACCCCTGTAACAGTGACATCTAGTAAGTAGGCCTAGGCTGTGGTTCTTTTGCCTTTCACAGCTCAATGTGAACAACTATTTCCACAAACCTTGCTCTTTAGGTAAGAACCACTTCCTCAGACATAGAACAAAAAGCCCCAGATAGGAAGTGAGGAGATGTGAGGTCTAGGTGGTTACTAGTCCTTCCATGAGCCTCACTTCCTACTTTTATAACACAGGGGCAATAGATTACATAATTTCTCATGTCCCTTGTAGCTCTGAATCCTATCACCAGATTTACATGTTTATTATAAAATAATACAAACACATTATTTCAAAAAACTATAACTCACTACCATTTTAAAAACCAAATATTTAATTGGGCAGTAAGAACATTAAAAGATGCTAAGGAAATTGAAGATAGTTTGATGCTGCCTTGTGTTACAAATCTCAGTTTTAAGACACAGCATTTCCAAGGGGAAAAACCTAATCTAAGGCAAAGAATCACACAGCTCCTGGCCATCCACCTTCTTTTTTTTGAGACAGAGTCTTGCTCTGTGGCCCAGGCTGGAGTGCAATGGCACAATCTTGGCTCACTGCAACCTCCGCCTCCCGGGTTCAAGCGATTCTTCTGCCTCAGCCTTCCGAATAGCTGGGATTACAGGCACGCACCACCAGGCCTGGCTAATTTTGTATTTTTAGTAGAGACGGGGTTTCTCCATGTTGGTCAGGCTGGTCTCGAACTCCCGACCTCAGGTGATCCACCCATCTCAGCCTCCCAAAGTGCTGGGATTACAGGCATGAGCCCCTGTGCCCGGCCTAATGTTTTTATTTTTATTTTTTTGTATTTTAGTAGAGACGGGGTTTCACCATGTTGGCCAGGCTGGTCTTGAACTCCTGACCTCAGGTGATCCACCTGCCTCGGCCTCCCAAAGTGCTGGGATTACAGGCGTGAACCACAGTGCCCAGCTCATCCACTTTCATAGAAGAAAAATTTCATGCTATCATAATAAATCAAACTTATAGAAAGGCTTGATATTATACACGTAAGCAACAAAAAGCCACAGACATGATTCTTTTCCTAATCTCATAAAACAAAGCAAACCCCACTCAAACTAAGGTCCTTAAAGAGGGAATCATTTCTACATTCAAGTGATAATAATTATAGCCAAAATTCAGGAATAAAGTTGCAGGATTGAATAATTGCCTAGTAGGAAGCTGAAATTATAAACTACTTGTATTAAAAAGATGTAGAAAAGTTAATAGTTTTATATACTGCTCTGTTTATACTATTGACAAGAGAAACCAGTCAAGACAGCACATCCCCCAAAGGGCTATTGCTATCTTCAGAATAGCTAGCTTAAATTCTGCATGATAGGCCAGGGGTGGTGGCTCACACCTGTAATCCCAGAACTTTGGGAGGCTGAGGTGGGCAGATTGCCTGAGCTCAGGAGTTCAAGACCACCCTGGCAACACGGTGAAACCATGTCTTTACTAAAAATACAAAAAATTAGCCAGGCATAGCGGTAGGCGCCTGTAATCCCAGCTACTCGGGAGGCTGAGGCACGAGAATTGCTGGAGCCCTGGAGGCAGAGGTTGCAGTGAGCCGAGATCATGCCACTGCACTCCAGCTTGGGCTACAGAGTGAGACTCCGTCCCTAAATCAATCAATCAATCAATCAATAAAATAATTCTTCATGATATTTTGCACTGTTGTAAATCAGGCTGGTAAAAACTGCTCTTAGCGCTGGGTGTGGTGGCTCACGCTTGTAATCTCAGCACTTTGGGAGGCTGAGATGGCCAGATCACGAGGTCAGGAGATCGAGACAATACTGGCCAACATGGTGAAACCCCGTCTCTACTAAAAATACAAAAATTAGTTGGGCATGGTGGCATGTGCCTGTAATCCCAGCTACTCGGGAGGCCGAGGCAGGAGAACTGCTTGAACCAGAGAGTCAGAGGTTGCAGTGAGCCGAGACTCCGCCACTGCACTCCAGCCTGGTGACAAAGCAAGACTCCATCTCAAAAAACAGACAGACAAACGAAAACTGCTCTTAGGTGCTGTTGTTTGGTACAGGTTGCTATGTTTGTCCAATCTTTGTCCATTTCTTAAATTCTTTGAGGCAAAGTGCATCTTTTCCTTTGCAACTTCTGTTTTGCTTTACAAGATATTCTGTATAAGCAGCCATTCAGATTATGCCTGTTTAAGTTACACAGCTACAAGAGTCCACTTTGGAATTCCAAGGACACTGATGAAAATATCCATAGGAAACTTCACTTTGTTTCACAAGGAATGTGCAAATAAAGGTGCCAATTATATTGGGGGAAAGTAATCAGCCCCAACAAAACTTATTTGAGTAGCAGAGAGTGGCATCTGTCTACAGTTGACATCCAGTCCAACAGGCCGACTTGGTTCCACACGGATCTATTACCATTCAATACCCTAGTTGAAAGCTATTCCCTGATCAATTCTTCTATATGAGATAAGTCACACAGGCTGAGAAGCTTGACTGTCTAGAGATAATTCAACAATATACGAGGATCAGTTTCTTCATTTTACTACATATATATATAAATAACCTCTGTTATCCAACCTTTATTTTCATTGCTTCACCTACAAGACAAAATAGCACAATTGGAGACATTTTCCTACGTCATTACTTGGTAAAATACGACGTACCTGGAAGCCCACAATATATAGAAGGCCTCAGCCTTCAGTTTTTAACAGTCTTTTTCTGCAAACTGCTGTTCTGGTGGCATTTTCAAAATAATTACCTATTAATTAAATTGACAAAACTAAAATAAAGCAAAATACATCTAATCATATAAATAACCATACAGATAACAAGAGAATTTTAAATACTTTTATGAAATATGGTTACAAAGTAATATATCATGTGACAAAAGAAACAACATGAAAAGAAATATACCACTCTCCATAATTATTTTTGCATAAAAATATCAATACCTAAGAGTGTGGTGCACGAGGACTGTACCAACTGCCTCAGATCCTGTTACTCAAGAATCATCTGTACACTCTCTAATTATATTTTTACATTCTCCTGGTATTATAAATATTCATTTTTTTTCTTTCCTCTGCCTGCATTTATTGAAAGATACACAGGCACAAGAAGTCTAGCATTCAAACATTCAAAAGATACAAACTATAAAATTCAGAATTGTTGCATATTACATTTCAGTATAACCTAAAGTACAGAGTGAATTTAAGAGGTTACAGATTACAAATAGTCATCTAAAATAAAAACGATTCCTTTAACATTTTTTTTTTGCTTAATAAGAGAATCCATTGTAAATTCTTATTCCAATTATTATTTACTGAATTCCAAACTGCATTTTCCGTTAGCATTTAAATGGATAAAGGGAGCTGCCTGGAAGATCTAGTTTCGTTGTGCTCATTTCTATCTGCTGTTTTAGTTTAAGGCACATTTTCCTTTATTTCACTTTTCCACAAGCCATAAAAAAACTCATTTCTAATTCATCCGTTCGTTCAGCTTAACCTCTCTTCTCAGCAATTAAAGCACTCTGCGCATCCCTCATCTATCACACAGCCAGCTAAATAATGCATTGCGTCCCCCGCTCATCTTTTATCATCCCAAATGACAGGTATTAGCATATCTCCCCAGTCAATTACAGTGCAGCAGAATAATCACAGCATAATTGGGCGAAAGCCACTCTAATCACCAGCCCTGCAAATGCGCAGAATAAAAACTGAGTGGCAGTTCAGACAGGCCTTGCTCTTGTCCATGACTCTAGCCAACAAGCCTGGCAGATCTCCATTTCCTGCCTTTTAGAACTTATCCTTTAGGGAGGTCAACTTCTCTAGGCCTCCTATGTAAAAGGAAAGAATGCATACATGTGTGAATGGGAAATATTTAATGTGTAACACACATATATGTGCATCTATTAATATTGTGCCTGCGATGTTTGCACATACTATTACATAGCACATCATAAACCTTTCCACTGTTGATCAGGAAACAAAAAAGTCATTTTATGAGTATGATGTCATTAGAAGTACTATTACAGGGCTCATATGAAGGTAAAACAAAAAAATTAACTTTTTTAATGAAGGTTATTTACTACCAAAATTGAAGCCCTCTAAGTGTCTACATGATAAAGAAATACCTTCTGCATCAT
The DNA here is from genome assembly GCF_000001405.40 of Homo sapiens. Lineage (NCBI taxonomy): Eukaryota > Metazoa > Chordata > Mammalia > Primates > Hominidae > Homo > Homo sapiens. The sequence continues at coordinate 157,050,604 of NC_000006.12, read as the reverse complement.
AAAACTCAGGATTTCTTCTTCCCAAATTATTCATTTATCACAAGTAACTTTTTTATTTTTGAGATAAGATTCTCGCTCTGTCGCCCAGGCTGGAGTGCAGTGGTGTGATCTCCGCTCACTGCAACCCCCGCCTCCTGGGTTCAAGCAATTCTCCTGCCTCAGCCTCCTGAGTAGCTGCGATTACAGTCACGCACCACCACGCCTGGCTAATTTTTGTATTTTTAGTAGAGACGGGGTTTCACCATGTTGATTAGGCTGGTCTCAAACTCCTGACCTCATGACCCACCCGCCTCGGCCTCCCAAAGTGCTGGGATTCTAGGAGTGAGCCACCATGCCCAGCCACAAGTAACATTTTTTAAATTGAGTTATCTGTTGTTCTTCCTTGTTGGGGGACTGGGTACAGGGGGTTTCATTGATGATATACAAAGTGGAGCTCCTTTGGCCCCTCCCATTCTTCTGGGCATCTGAGATGGAAACTGTGGGGATGGAAGACCCTCAGTGAGGTGGGGGCTGAGTCAGGGAGAGACACCCCACAACTGAGAGTGTCTCTCTTCCTTTTGCTGGTGCTGATGTTCCAGGGGTCCCTTACTCCTTGGAGGCCACAGGCGTTGTTATTCTTGGACTGTAGCAGCATTCAATGCATGTTTTAAAATCATGATGATATGAAGTGCAGGTTAACACATTAAGATGACTGAAGAAAAGACACTTATCCTTTTATGAGGAGATTAAAACTTAAATGAGACAAAAATAGGAATACAATGTGAGAAGCTTTAATATGTAATGTGAAGATTTAAAAAGAAAATTCTAGAAATGTTTCGAAAATTTGTTTGAAATTAATTTTAGAATACTTCTTAAAATTTTATTGATTTTACCGTGATATTTAATGGATAAGATAAGCCTATATCCAATTCTCATTATAAATAATATGTATTCATTTGCTGCTCTGTTCTTCACCTCCCCTCTTCCTCAATGAGATACAAAAAAATTTATTCTGAAAGGAAAACTTAATTTGTGGAAGAGTGAAGGGAGGTTAAGAGACATTTCTTATAAAAATGTACATGGCTTCTTAAGAAACAGCCAATTAAATGCTTTAAACTGCCATGTGTAGCTAGGGGAAAAAAAAGAAATCTCCTGTAGGACTTAACTTCCTCTACGCCGATTTCAAGGGCCAGTCCTGTCCCTCCCCGTACTTCTCTCCAGTTCCTCACACTGACCCCTCCTTTTCACATGGCCATCTAAGGCCACACCTACTGCAAGGAGAAAACTGCCCAGCTACCAAAGGAAGGTCACACTTGAGGAGCACTCTGGCCAGAGAGAGAGAAGGCTTCATCCCACCTTGGCCACGGTCTAGAATCGGCCATGGCAGAGTGGCCTTGCTGGGCACAGTGAGCAGCAAATCAAGGCAGCAAGTCTTTTTTTTTTTTTTTTTCTCCAGACTGAGTCTTGCTCTGTCACCCAGGCTGAAGTGCAGTGGCATGATCTCAGCTCACTGCAACCTCCACCTCCTGGTTCAAGTGATTCTTGTGCCTCAGCCTCCTGAGTAGCTGGGATGACAGCTGCCCACCACCACGCCTGGCTGATTTTTGTATTTTTAGTAGAGATGGGGCTTTACCATGTTGGCTAGGCTGGTCTTGAACTCCTGACCTCAAGTGATCTGCCCGCCTCAGTCTCCCAAAGTGCTGGGATTACAGGCGTGAGCCACTGCGCCTGGCCTTAAGGTAGCAAGTCTTGGTGACTTGGCACACTGGAACACAGAGCCACTGCGGGCTGCATGGATGCTCTGCTGTGGCTATGCACAAACGAATAAATCACACATGGCAAAACTCTCTGCTTAGTGATTCCATCGTAATCAAGACACCAGCCGAATTCAGGGAAGCATGAGATCAGGCGACTATGACAACAAAGCAAACAAGATATGATATTTATTACTCTTATTATTTAGAACTTGTAATATTTTCAACCACAATTCTGTCAGACAATGTATTCCTTCAATACACAGGAACACACTAAGGCAGTAATACATTATCAAAAGCCAACTGTTAAAAGACCAGAGTAAAAGCAGAATTTAGACAAAACAAATAGTCTCCCAGACTTTTTATTCCTTCCAAACTTGTTATTTTAAGTTATAATGTGAAATGTTTTATTTGCATTATCACTTCCAGAGCTCTGCATGCATTTCTGTTGGCATATCTTTGCAAATGGACCCACAGGATGCATTACTTCGGTTGTAAAATGGTACTTTTATTGCTTATTTGGGAATATCTTTTACAAGTATTTATCAGTGATACATCTGTTATGCAAGTATTAATTCAACAGGTTTCTTAATCCAAATCTGATTTTTAAAAATCATCCCTGATATATTCTTTAATTCACATAAATGTTCTACTTGGCTTTAAGCATATTCCAACATATTGGCTCTTTCAACACCAGCCACGTTGACATTCTCAACTGACTTGCAAAAATTGACATGGCTTGGGAAGAAGCCAAATTTAAGGCAGGAGGAGGGAAGGAGGAGGGCTTTCACCATCTGAAGAAACAGAATCTGCTTTAAAACTTGGCAGTGCAGAGAACCTAAAACACACGCAATCAAAATCACCCCCATCTTCCCTAGGATATTTTCTTTGCTTCTTCCCAACAAAATCTCAAGTAGCTTGATGATTACTAATATGATCACAGTAACTGCATGCAAAGGAATTTTACAGGCAAGTCCTGAAACACGCCTCTAATTACATGTGCATGTCCCAAATGAACAGGTGTTTGAGGGTGGGGATAAGAGAATATATGCATTTTTATTATTACTAGAAAATTAAGTCCTCAAAAACTAGTGCCAAAATAATGTCCCCAGAGATACATGGAGTCAATCAAACTCTAAATTATACAAGTAAATAAGCTTGCTTCCAGCATAACTCCTTGCTCTCTTAAAAAGACCACTTTTCAGACACATAGCACGTGAGGCCATGTTTAATTCCTAACGTCTTTTTACAAAAATGAACAGAATCTGACAAAGGCAGGCATGAACTACACTAAATTATGGTCCCTCCACTCACCTTATCTTCACCATCACTAAGGCAGGGCAAACATTTCTGCACAGTGGACTTGGTAGATCTTGGGACAGCCGCGATGCTGTCAATGAATCTATCTAAACACTCTGTCATCTACCATCATCTGACAGAATACTTGGTCTAGAAGAAATGGAGTTCCTATTACACCAAGAACTCCTCTGATTATAATATACTACTTCTGATTTTGCATATAATGCCAAAACATATTCTGGAAACGTCACACCTTCTTTGCTGGGCTTTCTGGCCTACTGGGTACTCTCATGTCAGTTAAGCTCCACAAACATCTCGTGATCACCTAATACCTCACAGAGTGTGCTCATACCCATTCCAATTGGAATAAACTACTTTTAAAGAAAAATACCGTTTTCACTATTGAAAGCTGATCTAAAATGATATTAGAGTCCTAGTACATTGGGTTGAACCATATGAAATTGCCAACATTACACCATTTTTTGAGCTGCGAAATGCCAATTCTGTAAAATGTAACCTAATATAGAGTTCCTAAACTTGAGAGGACTGATTTAAAAAAACAACAACACAGGCATTGCTGGAATTTTTTCATAAAGTACACAGGCCTGGGAAGCAGCAACTTCTAGCTGAGCTTTACCACTAGACAGTGCCTAAAATAAGTCACTTTCCCTCCCTCAGCCTTTTTCATTGTGAAAAAAAGAAATTGAAAAAATCTTAGGTTACATTTTCTCTTTGAGAAAAATGCTGAAAAGTAACTGGCCATAGCAGCTCTAAAGGAAATTAGGAAAGAAGACTAAAGGTGGCAGAAAATAAAATTTCTATATTTTACCTTTCTTTTAAAAATTTTTGCCTGGCTTCACTTAATGAAAGGATTTGTTTGTGGACAACAATACAACAACAAAATTCTATTTTTCCCAAGACAACAAGAATATCTTAGTCTAGGAAACATCAGCAAGAAGAAATGGAAGACTAACAAATGGTAAAACACTTGTACTTCCAATGAATACAGGAGGCCTGTTAGCATTAAGGACCTGAAGAATTTTAGAGCTGGAAATAAATTTAATGATGTCTAGAAATCAATTCTCCAACCTCACAATGGGACTTACAGTAGAATATGGGTCTGTTCAACTCCCAGTCAAGTAGTCTTAATTATAAAATGGCAGGAAAAAAATCCTATTCCATATTTAATCCAAAGCCAGACATCAGGTGAGACCCCTAACAGCTCTCAAGTAACTCCTCATCAGCCACTCCAGGCCTTTCATTAACAGGGCTCTAACCTGCCTCTTCACTGCATATGTTTTGGCCTCACAGTCTTGTCTTTTCTGAGTTTTAGACTTGTGTATTCCTCTAAAGACAAAATTGGAAAAAAAGCTAAAATATCCCTTCAAAAGATAATTAAACCTAACAAAGAAAACTGTATCAAAATATTACAGGTAAATATACATAAAGTATTTCCCCCAAATCATTTCTAAATAAAAATAAAGCAAATTTGTTTTAAACTCAAACATGTAACTGTCTGAACTACCAGCAGATGGCAGAGGCAGAGGCTGGGAAATTTTCTAACAAAAGAAGAGAAGAGCTCAATATGGATTCCTGGATTCCCACATCCGGGAGAACTTGAGATCCTTGAGGTCCTAGAGAAACACTGCAGATTCCTCTCCCCACACCCCCTTGAATCTTTCTTTTAGCGGAAACAGTAAATTTTTTGCTTTAACAATATATATTCTATAATTTTAAGTTTGAGTCAATATTGAAACAGTATGGAATAAACTTGGTCCTCTACTGCTCTAAAGGTTTTGAACAGATTTTAATTAAATAAAAAAGATTAAAATGTAAAAACAAATCTTTCATATTATGAAAAGTAATATGAGTTCATAAGATTATGAGTTCAAAAAAACTGTTTGCTAGTTTTGTTTCAATGACATTGGTTATCTTAAATATACTTTCACCTAACTTATAGTCACACTCACTCAGAGAGTTAGCCAAGTAAATTCACTAGAAAACACATCCCGCTAAGGGTGGAGCTTGCAGTGAGCCAAGATGGTGCCACTGCACTCCAGCCTGGGTGACAGAGAGAGACTCTGTCTCACAGAAGAAAAAAAAGGTCCCGCTAAGAAGACGCAAAGAGTAGAGAAGAACCAGAGTTAATGCAGCTTGACAAAAAATATATATGGTAAATGTTTTTAAACAGAAAATTAGTATATGTTTTCATGTGGTTACACTCATAAAAGAAATAACTATTTTATTGGGTAGAATCTTACAATGCAAAACTAAACACTCTAAATCCAAAATACTATATTGGTAGCCTGGGGCATATCTTAGGCAAATCAATGAATTAATGACCCATCACAAATGTCACTCTAGAAGGATGTCAAATTTCATGACCCTGTTTAAAACTTTTCTATTCTCAAAATCTAATGAAACTTGTCAACTTTATAGTAGTTTATCTTTCTTTCCTAAGCAGAACATCCCCTCTGCTTTATAGCACTCTACCTGAACAGCAAATTCCTTCTGTTTTCTACTATCTTTTCAAATCCCTAGTGTTTAAATCAATTTTTAAAATGGCTGTTCTAATTGTTATTAGAACATTTATATATTATATAAATGGCTGTTATGCTAAAAACTGTCTGTGTCATCTACATACTTGGAACCTGTATTTTCTAGACCAGCTCAGGCAACAGAACTCATTGTTAAGATGGACGCCTCTCTCTATGCACTGTGGCAGTGTGGCAGCCACCAGCAACATGTAATTGTTGAGATGTGGCCAGTGTAACTGAAGAAATGATATTTGAATTTGATTTAGCTTTAAATACTTTAAATAGCCACACATGGCTGGTGGCTGCCACACTGGATAGCACAGCTCTACAGAACCAAAATGAGCAATGAGAAATGATTAAAACTGGAAAAATGTAACAAAAGATACAGAGTCAGAAATGACTAAAAACAAATGGACTTTTAACACAATTCAAACTGGAGCCCTCTAAGTTAGATGGATCAGAAAAGGAAGCTACAAGTGAACCTCCCGCTTTTTCCCAAAGGTCATTATTTGGTTCTTGAGCCAGGAGGCCCATTCAGACATGGGTTGCCATTGTATTTTTTTCTGTTTCCTCCTTAGCCAGTATGATAAATCCTATAGTTAACGACTGCATCATTTTGTTTTTATATGAGGGAAGTGAAATACAGATACTTTCATAATGATCAGATGTCAAAAGACAGAAAGCAGCTCAAATTTAAGTCACTGCCAAATATGATCCTCAGGCTACACATTTTCCACAGTTGAAAATACCTTATTTTAAAAAGATAAAATAAAATTTTCCACTTTTATTCTATTTGAAATTATATTTACGGGTGACTAATCCTTTTGTTATTTATAATTTCCTTAGGTCAAACTGGAATCCATTCCATTTTGTAGAATACAATAAATAGATTCAATTAAGACAATTAAACAACAGAAAAGCATACAATTATATCCAAACTTTGCATCTCTTCTTGGATTTTTCTCTGACATAAGATCATTCCAAATGTTGTGTCCAGAATGTAAGATCCGTGGAAGCAAGGACTTATTATTCTTACCACTGCATCCCTGGTACTTGACAAATAACACGTATATCCCATAGATATTTGTTTGAATGGAAAGCAGTGGAAAGAAGTAGAGTGATATGAATGAATACAACTGCAGAACCTGATTAATGAACATATTTAAGATAAGCCAGGTTAAAAGGAACCAACTAGTTTTTGATGCCAGCCATACCCACTCAATAGCTTCAACAAACATTAACAATGAATATATCTTCCTTAAGGTGGGCATTACAGAGCTTAAATAGGAAATGCCAAGCTCACATATTAGCCCAGATAACAGGAGAATCGGCAAGGAAATCCCAGAATACAGAAGAACACAGTAGTGATATGTTAATATCACACATTTTATGCTCTTAGCAGTGACAATTGTTAACACTATCAGTAAAACTCTTAATCATCAGTACTTATGCACTGTTTACCATGTGAAAGTCAATATGGATATAAAAAGATGAAAAAAATGGATTCTCTAAGCTTACCATATTATGGGGGAAAATGCCACGTAATAGAATTGGGCTAGGCCATATCACGCTGTCTCCCAAATACAAAAGAACACCAAAACAAGTTGGCAGATGAGAAATTCCAAATGAGTCCTAAAGGCAGTGAGAACTGTTGAGCTCTGAGGATGGTGCTCAGAAGGCGCCCATGCCGAGACAAATCATAGAAGAGAGAGGTTAGAATGGAGCCTGGAGGGAAAGCAGGATTTTGAAATGCAGCAAGAGGAAGGGTAAGCATTTCAGGGGAAAGGCAAGGTGGAGACTAGGCTGGAGGGAAGCTAAGGGCAGCAAAGGGCATGGGATATTTAAGGGACTCTGTTAGTTGGGGGTTGGAAGACCAGTTTGAACGCTGATGTTATTTTTCTCTAAGATATCTAATCAACCAAAATACAGGTAAAAAGTAATACAAGTGTAGGATTTACTTTAACATCTTATGTTCAGATACTTTAGCTTAGACCTTTCTCTTTTATAGTAATAAATTTTAGGTGCCTAAAACAAATATTAAAAATTATCACCAAAGAGGATTAAAGTTAAGTGTAGCCTTTGTGCGGTGGCTCATGCCTGTAATCCCAGCACTTTGGGAGGCTGAGGCGGGCAGATCACTTGAGGTCAGGAGTTTGAGACCAGCCTGGCCAACATGGTAAAAACCCATCTCTACTAAAAATACAAAAAACTTAGCTGGGCGTTGTGGCACAGGTCTGTATTCCCAGCTACTTGGGAGGCTGAGGCAGGAGAATCACTTGAACCTGGGAAGTGGAGGCTGCAGTGAGTGGAGATCACGCCACTGTACTCCAGCCTGGGTGACACAGTGAGACTCTGTCTCAAAAAAAAAAAAAAAAAGGAGTGGAGGGCTCCTGTGATCTTGTGGGACCCAATGATAGCATAAATTGCATCATTTTTCTTTTTCTCATTCTTTTTTAGAGTAATACAATATGCTTCCCCTTGATTATCCTTGTAATTCATTTTAAACTGACCTCTCCACATGTATTTTTAATAGTTTATATCAAATATTATAAAAAGAGTCATAAAATTCAGAGTTTTCTTCCCAAAGAACATGTCAGCCAAAACACCCTATCAAAATATTTTTGATTTTGTGGAATTCTGATGTCCATTTAGCCCGGAAGACAGGTATAGCAAATGAATACACTGGTAATACATATTTCTGTCCCTCCATCTTTCAAAGGGAAAAGTCTTTAAAAATTATTTTGAGAATCAAATTACGTTATTGTCAAATAGGCAAGCCCTAAGAATTTACCCCAGGAAATACACTGTATTGAACAAGAGATACATGTTTTCATCTTTGTCATGGCTTTATGCATATTCATTCATTCGGCAGGATATTTAAGAATACACCCTGGAGGAGGAGGGGAAGGTGTAACGTGGGGTATTAGCGGCTTATGTAGCAGAGAGGAGAATCGAACACATTACTGCCTGTCTGTGAAGAGGAAGACGAGTCTGAGAAATCGAGGCCAGACCTGTAGGAGGTGAATCAACAAAACGCTGCTGAGGAAGCCACAGGAAGAGAGTGTGCCAAGGAAGAAGTCCATTAGGTCAAATGCGCAAGGAGGCAGGCACAGGGCAAGTAGTGAACTGCTCTGCTAGATCTGGGTGTGTCGTTGGGGACCTTAGTAAGAGGAGTTGAGTGGGGCAGTGGTGATGGTGGCTAAGAAGATGGGGAGTAAAGACTGAGAGGCGGGTACAGGGTACACCCTATCAGTTCCATCAGTGATCAGGACATTCAGAAAACAGAGAAGGTGCTGGGGCTGACACTGCTGGTGCAAATCCCAGTTCTGTTACTGATTGGTTGCGTGAACTTGAGCAAGTTCTAGACTCTGAGTTCCTGTTTCCTTACCTAACACTGGGGATAACAACAGTGTCCACGTCTCATATGAGAGTGGATTAAATAAAAACGTGCTTTTTTCTAATTCTGGACTTAGCCACCTAATCAGAAGATGAAGAACATTCACAGTCATGAAATTTTGAAGTAACTTATTAGATTAGTAAGATTTCTTAAGAAATTTATTAAGAAGTTTATTAAGTTATGTTTACATGTTTTTTAATGACCCAGGGCTAATTACATACCCCTTTCTTGTTTACACCCCTTACTATAATTTTCTATACTACTATATGTAGAATCCATAAACAACAAGTCAATGTTTCAGTCTTTTCCCTATGTTTAGTAATGTAATCACATATGTACACATATAAATGTTTAGCTGATTTATCATCCCATTATCAACAGCAGCTTTAGTTAGTTCATTAATGATATACAAGGCACGGTTATCCTATAAAAAGAACCAACCCATGTTGGTGGCTGCTGGGACTTCTGATTTATTTTTCTATAGAATTATAAACTTTATAATATATTCAAATCATGATCAAAGCTGAAAATAAGAATAGTGGTCTACAGTTTCAGAACTTTACTAACAAAGGCATATATTCACCCATTTTTTATTTTGAAGCACCTCTTCTATTCACCTCAAATTCTTGTTTATAAGTAGATATAATTTAAAAATAATTATCTTAATTAGACCTGTATAGAAACAAACTCAAGAAAATAAAAGTTACTTAAATTCAGAGGAAAAAACTAAAACCACGGGAAAACAGCGGAAGTGCTTATTGTCTACTATACTGTGAAACAGCTTCAGCATTTCAAATTCTAAGTTACCTTTAAATGAGATAAGCCTAACAAAACAATGAATCTCTATTTGTGCAAAATTAAGATGTAAGAAGTAGAACATAGATATTTGCCATTTGACTAGAGTAAAAAGTTACTCTCAGATCAACCTTGCTAGTCATGATAGTTTTGCGAGACTGCACACTTGTTTCCCTGGGTTGTAGTTTCGCCACATGTACATACAAAAATAAGTTGTTTTCATTTCTGGGTCCCAGTGTATTTAACTCATTTTCCAGTAAGACTGACAAATTTGTGCTAAGTCAATATTAAGCTTGTAAATTTAATTTCGCTTAAGAGAAGGCAAAGCATACAAGTATAAAGAATTAGTAGGAAAAA